>NC_000005.10:181177367-181327813 GCF_000001405.40 Homo sapiens
GATGTAGATTTTCAGATCCAAATGCCAGCAGTTCATTCTGGTCGATGAGAGGAAAATATTTTGCATTGAGGCTATCCCAGGAAAGCAAGGACACAAGGCCACGGGGAGCAACCAAGGACCATGACAACTTCTGAGAAAAATAAGTTTTTAAAGAGAAGCCCCTGCCATTTGGAAGCTAACGGGCACTCACAGCCTGCTGGACATAAGCAGCCCCGCAGAATACAGCCCTGGACAGGGCTACTCGGAGGCCGAGATTAAATTAGACCACGCGAGGCCACTTCGTCACTGCACCGAAGCAGGGGTGGAAGCAAGCTCACTGCACCAGCCACAAAGCACCAGACATCCCACCCAGACAAAACCAGTGGCTGTTACTTCTTCACCAATGACAGCTTTAAAAAGCCGCTCCTGCCAGTCACGGTGGCTCACGCCTGTAATCCCAACACTTTGGGAGGCGAAGGTGGGCGGATCACCTGAGGTCAGGAGTTCAAGACCAGCCTGGCCAACATAGTGAAACCCCGTCTCTACTAAAAACACAACAAATTAGCTGGGCGTGGTGGCAGGAAGTCAGGGACCCTGAATGGAGGGAACAGCTGGAGCTGCAGCAGAGGAACATAAATTGTGAAGATTTCATGGACATTTATCAGTTCCCAAAATTAATACTTTTATAATTTCTTACGCCGGTCTTTACTGCAATCTCTGAACATAAATTGTGAAGATTTCATGGACATTTATCAGTTCCAAAATAATACTTTTATAATTTCTTATGCCTGTCTTTATTTATTTATTTATTTATTTATTTATTTATTTTTTTTTCTTTTGAGACGGAGTCTTGCTCTGTCTCCCAGGCTGGAGTGCAGTGGTGCGATCTCAGCTCACTGCAAGCTCCGCCTCCCGGGTTCACGCCATTCTCCTGCCTCAGCCTCCCGAGTAGCTGGGACTACAGGCGCCCGCCACCACGCCCGGCTAATTTTTTGTATTTTTAGTAGAGACGGGGTTTCACCATGTTGGCCGGGATGGTCTCGATCTCCTGACCTCGTGATCCGCCCGCCTCGGCCTCCCAAAGTGCTGGAATTACAGGCGTGAGCCGCCGTGCCCGGCCGAAAGAAACCTTTCTTTTACACCAGCCTTCCAGGGCTAGGAAAGTCTTCTGAAAATCCCGGTACAAAGAAATCTGCACAAAGATAAGCCTCCATGTATTATTAACTGTAATAACTTTGGTCCTGGTGCAGGAAGAACCAAGAAGATCAATGGAGTGGAACTGAATCAATAAAGAGACTCGAATGTGTTTGGGAATTGAGCACATGGTAATGGCGGCGTTTCAGTGGAGAGAACAGAGTTACCTGTGTAATAGAAAACCAAGTCAAAAGGAAGAAAAATTAATGGTGGAGATAATTTTGTTTTTACCCAAAAATAAAAAATAAAAGCCGGGCACGGTGTCTCATGCCTGTAATCCCAGCACTTTGGGAGGCTGAGGTGGGCGGATCACCTGAGGTCAGGAGTTCAAGACCATCCCGGCCAACATGGTGAAACCCCATCTCTACTAAAAATACAAAAAATTAGCCGGGCATGGTGGCGGGCGCCTGTAGTCCCAGCTACTTGGGAGGCTGAGGCAGGAGAATTGCAGTGAGCTGAGATCGTGCCACTGCACTCCAGCCTGGACGACAGAGCAAGACCCTGTCTCAAAAAAATAAAATAAAATAAAAATAAAAAATAAAAAAATAAGGAAAGTGGGACTGCATGGGACTGGAGGGAGAGAGGTGGGTTAGAGCAAGTTTGGTTTTTTCCCTTTCCCTTGGTCAGCAAACTACCCTCAGGCCAAATCCAGCCTGCAACCTATTTCTCTCCAGCCCAGCGAGCTAAGAACATTTTTTACTGGTTAAAAAAATAAAAAGAATAATATTTCATGACATGTAAAAATTAGATGAAATTCAAATGTTGGTGTCTGTGAGTCAAGTCCCATTGGCACACATGTCCCATTGGCACACGGCGCCTCCCTCTCATTATGTGTCACCTTTACTGGCTTTGGCACCAAAAGGGCAGACGTGGGTACTTCCGACAAAACTGAAAAGATTCTGTACGTGGCCCTTGCAGAGAAAGCTTGCAGACCCCTGCTTTAGAGAGAGGAGGTATGAGAGTTTAGGCTTTGGTGTGGGTGGCTGGGGAGATCCCCTGGTTCAGGAAATGGTGATTCCAAGGGAAGTTGCTGTCTGGGTGCTGGTGCTGTCCTCCTCCTCTGTCCACCCCATATCTAATGCATTCTGAGCGCTCGCTGGGCAGTCAGTGCAGGGCGGGACAACAGTCACGTGTTGCTTCCCAAGACATACAGTCACGGGCCCCTTAACAACAAGGATGCATTCTGGGAAATGGTGATTAGGTGGCTCTTGGAAGGTGCACCTCATTTACCCCTAGGCTGGGTGGCATAGCCCATCGCTCCCACGAGTGACGTCTGTGCTACGACAGTACCACGGCTATGACATCCCTAGGCCATAGGAATTCTTCAGCTCCATCATAGTCATGGGACCACTGTCATGCACGTGTCCCTCCTTGCCTGGAAGGTTGCTGTGCAGCGCATGACGGCACTTCCATGTCAGCGGGTGCCTCGCTGGCCCATCTCCTGCCCCTGCTCACTCTGTCTGCCACCTTCCAGCAGCTCCCTGCCCTAAAGCCATCCTGATGCTGCTTTTCCGCCATTTCTTCCTCTGTGCATGTTACCCCAAACTCCACAGGGACTGCTGCTTGCTTGACATGCATTCTGGAACCTTCTGGGATCCTGTCCCAGTGCTCCCAAGGAGAAGCGGCAAGCAAGGGCCAACTCAGCCCAGGGCTGCCTCTGTCCAGGCCCTCTGTCCAGGTCGACAGGCATCTTCCCCTCCCCAGGGGGAGTGCAGGCTCCAGATGAGTTTCTGTCTCCCCAGCTGAGAACCTTTGTCTTGGTTCGGGTTGCTGTAACACAATACCATATGCCAGGCTGCTCAAACAATGACATTGATTTCTCACAGTTTCGCAGGCTGGAAGTCTAGATCAGGGTGCAGCACACTGCAGTTCTTGGTAAGGATCCTCTTCCTGATTTCTGCCCAGCTGCCTTCTCACTGTATCCCCACGAGAGAGGGAGAGGAACCAGCTCTCAGTCTCAGTTCTGTCTCCCTGTGAATCTGAGAGTGTGCTGAGGCCAGGAACCTTTGTCCCCTTAGCACCTAGACAGGATGTGGGACAGGAGTTAGGCACATAAATAAATGAATGAATGAATGGAAAGAAAATATATGATTGGTAATAATCCTTCATTGATTCAACAAGCCAACCCTGCACAGTCCTCACTCTCAGCTGGGGACATCCGTTGCAAAAGTTCAATCACCTCTGGCCCTGGCCAGTCCCAGGTGGCACCTCAGCTGTCACCAACCTGTCCCCTGACAGTGCCCTGGATGAGGCCACCAGCACCTCCCTCCTGACTCACAAGCATGGGGCTCTTCTAGCAGCCCTACTTGACTACTCTTGGATCTGTGGGGCTTTTGGTTCTCCGAAAGTCACTCACTCATTTATCAAAGGGGGACTTCATGTTCCACCTTTGACCCACAACTCTTTTGTACTATTTGCAAGACTCTGAGGCTTTTTTTTTTTTTTTTTTGAGACAGGGTTTCACTCTTTTTGCCCAGGCTGGAGTGCAGTGGCATCATCTCAGCTCACTGCAACCTCTGTCTCCCAGGTTCAAGTGATTCTCCTGCCTCAGCCTCCTGAGTAGCTGGGATTACAGGCACCCATCACCATGCCTGGCTAATTTTTTGTATTTTTAGTAGAGACGGGGTTTCACCATGTTGGTCAGGCTGGTCTTGAACTCCTAACCTCCAGTGATCCACCTGCCTCAGCCTCCCAAAGTGCTGAGATTACAGGTGTGAGCCACCACGCCCAGCCGAGTCTGAGCCCTTTTAAAGATGGGTGGCCATGGACTACCAGTCTGGTGAAAGTTATGGACTCCTTCTCAGAATAATGCTTTCTTTCTGTTTGTTTTTGGTTTTGGTTTTTTGAGACAGGGTCTTGCTCTGTTGCTAAGGCTGGAGAGCAGTGGGAAGAACCTAGCTCACTGCAGCCATGACCTCCTGGGCTGAAGGGATCCTCCCACCTCAGCCTCTCAAGTACTTGGGGCTACAGGTGCATGCCACCATTTCTGGCTAATATTTTGCATTTTTTGTAGAGATGGGGTCTCCCTATGTTGCCCTTGCTGGTCTCAAACTCCTGGCCTCAAGCGATTCAAATACCTTGGCCTCCCAAATAGCTGGAATTACAGCTGTGAGTCACACTGCCAGGACAATTACCATAATTTTTAAGTACTAATGAGCATAAGTGATATTTCAAAGTGCCTACAAGAACTATGATTTGACATGTGATATGAAAGGACCTGTGATTTCTTTGTGTTTTGCTGGTGTATGAGACAGAGTCTGCCTCTGCTGCCCAGGCTGGAGTGCAGTGGCACAACCTTGGCTCGCTGCAGCCTCCACCTCTGGGGCTCCTGCGATCCTCCCGCCTCAGCCGCATCTGTGATTTCCATTAGCAATAAAGGTCGTGTTAATTCTACTGTGGATTGCAGCCTCCTTTCTGAATGGAAAACCCTCTTTCAGTTCGTGATTAGGAAAAACATGAGTTCTGCTATTGTTCCCACCCAGATTCACAGATCCCCTGTTATCCCCGCCTCCTAGGAAAGGGAATCTTTCGGCCTTCTCGGGGCCAGGCCTTCACCTCCGCCTACAGGCAGGAGATGGCGCCAACAGCAAGAGGTTCCTTCTGACTGTGGCCTATAATTAGGTCAAGTGGCAGCATAGGTAGACGTGCAATCAGGGACTAAGTCTGCAGATGTGACTTGCATGAGGTGGGCATGACTGTGCTACGAGCATAACTAAGAACGTCTTCATCTTAGTGAGCGGGTGTTTTATGAGAGTGTGCACTAAGATGAGAAATCATCCACAGCATCCACTAAAAGAGGGTTTGGGGGCCTTAAGTCTGTGCACACATCCGCCCGCGGTGTCCGGGGAGAGAGTGCGAAGTGCCGGGTCCCTGCGAAGGTGCAGTTCCTGGAGGAGGCCCTCAGGCTCTCAGGACAGCGGATGCTGGGACTCCACATTCTCCTTCTGGTTTTCTCCTGGTCTCCTGTCACCCGTGGCAAGTGTCTCTCCTGTTGTTGTCGTTTTTATAAATAGAAACAAGGTCTCATTATGTTGCCCAGGCTGGTCTCAAACACCTGGACTCAATCAATCCACCCACCTCTCCCTCCCAAAAGTTCTGGGACTTCAGGTGTGAGCCGACGCACCCAGCCCTGTTCTATTTCTGATTATAATCCTGAGCTTTGTCCATGTGTCCCTTTAAGCTTGGCTAATGGGGCTGAGCACATAAGAAAAGGAACTACCAGACTTGGAACGCTGAGGCAGGAGGATCGCCGGAACCCAGCAGTTGCAGACCAGCCTGTACAACGTACGGAGACCCCATTTCTACTGAAACATAGAAGAATAAAAATCAGCCAGGTGTGGTGGCATATGCCTGTAGTCCCAGCTACTTGGGAGGCTGAGGTAAGAGACTCATTTGAGCCTAGGAGGTGGAGGCTGCAGTGAGCCGTGATCGCAGCACTGCGCTCCGGCCTAGGTGACAGAGGGAAACGTCTTGAACAAAAAGAAGAAAAGAAAGAAAAGGAAGTTTTCATGCCCGACGCGGTAGCATAAGGGGGCATGGGAGACCGGACGAGAGGGTGTGGCAGCGACCGCAGGGAGAGGAGACGGCGGACGCGGAACTGTGCGGGGTTGGCAGTGGGCTTGGGGGTGGCACAGCGGGGACGCGCTGGCACCGGTTTCTGAGAGGGGACATTCGGGAGAAGCTGCCTGGGGAATGGGAGGCCACGAGTTCGGGCGTGGAGACGGAGCTTCAGGGCCTGGAGAAAGGGGAGTGGAAATGACGGAGGAAGTATCCGTATCGCATCCTCGGTTTGCCCGAGAGATGTCTGTGCCGCCACGTTTACCGCAGCGCTGTTCACAATAGCCCAGATCTGCGAGCAAAGGCAGCGGCCGTCGGTGCAGGAGTGGGCGGAGGCACCGAGGTGGATGCGCAGCAGAGCACCACTCAGCCGCAAGAACACGATAATCCCGGCCGGGCGCGGGGGCTCACGCCTGTAATCCCAGCACTTTGGGAGGCCGAGGCGGGCGGATCACGAGGTCAGGAGATCGAGACCAGCCTGACCAACACGGTGAAACCCCGTCTCTACTAAAAATACAAAAATTAGCCAGGCGTGAAAAACACCAGGCGTAAAAACACACCACAGGCGCGGTGGCGGGCGCCTGTAGTCCCAGCTCCTCGGGAGGCTGAGGCAGGAGAATCGCTTGAACCTGGGAGGCGGAGCTTGCAGTGAGCGGAGATCACGCCATTGCACTCCAGCCTGGCGACAGAGCGAGACTCCATCTCAAAAAAAGAAAAAAATATATAGAATTTTGGCCCATTAACTACACTAGATATTTATTTCTCTATATAATCATTATGATGTTATACAGAGATTGAGCCACAAGGATAATCTTGCAATGGGGGGAAAAAAAAAATCTGAGTCTAAATGTTCAACAACAGTGGCTGCTTAGATATCTAGAGTTCTTCCAAACACTGGAACAATGAAAATGGTGTTGTGGGCTGTTTTCTTCTTCCCGCTGATACCAATCCTGCTGCGGTCTGGTTGTGGTATACAGGGAGTTCCGGCGGGCCCAGGTCCCCTCTCCTCCTGCAGCCCTGGGCCCGGGCTCCGCTGCGTCTGGCGCTGCAAGACCTGCGCGCCGAGATCCCGGGGCGAGGGACCCTGGGCGGCGCGATCTGCACAGCGCCGAGCCTGCATCGCGCCCCCGCCAGGACCAGAGCCGCGCCGCGGTGGAGTCCTGAGCGCCCCCGAGCGGTCACGTGTGCGGCGGCGACCCAAGAATTTGAAAGAGTCGCGGAAAACTGCACTCATCATAGAGCATCTGAAGGTTCCTAGAGGGAGCTGTGAACGGTTAACAAAAAACACGGCCATGGGGTCCCCTGGTGGCGTTTTGAAGGGCGACCCCTCCCCTACCCCAGCGCGGCCTGTGGCTCTTTGTTTACAATTTCATAAAGGCGAAAAATAAAATGTAGGAATGAGTGGCATCACAGTACCTTTGTTGAGTATTTTTTTCTTTTTCTTTTTACTATGGAATCTTTCCAGCGAAGTTAAGTACTTTTTAAAAGGCAAGTTACAAAACACAATGCAAAGTATTCTTATTAAAACATAGCTCGGGGCCGGGCGCGGTGGCTCACGCCTGTAATCCCAGCACTTTGGGAGGCTGAGGCGGGTGGATCATGACGCCAGAAGATCGAGACGATCCTGGCTAACACGGTGAAACCCCGTCTCTACTAAAAACACAAAAAAATGAGCCGGGCGTGGTGGCGGGCGCCTCTAGTCCCAGCTACTCGGGAGGCTGAGGCAGGAGAATGGCGTGAACCCGGGAGGCGGAGCTTGCAGTGAGCTGAGATCGCACCACTGCACTCCAGCCTGATCAACAGAGCGAGACTCCGTCTCAAAAACAAAAACAAAAACAAAACAAAACAAAACAAAAAAACCAAAAAACAACAAAAAAAGAGCTCGGCCAGGCGCGGTGGCTCACTCCTGCAATCCCAGCAGTTTGTGAGGCCTAGGCAAGAGGAGCTCGAGATCAACCTGGGCAATATGGCGAAACTCGTCTCTACAAAAAATACCAAAATTAGCCAGGCGTGGTGGTACGCACCCGTGGTTCTAGCTGCTCCGGAGCCTGAGGTGGGAGAATCGCTGGAGCCCAGGAGGTCGAGACTGCAGTGAGCTGTGTTTGTGCCACTACAGTCCAACCTGGGTGACAGAGCAAGACCCCGTTTGAAAAATAAATAAATATGTAAATGTAAATAAGTAAATAACATAGCTTGTCGAGCTGAGTAGGGTGGCACACGCCTGTAATCCCAGCTACTCAGGAGGCTGAGGCGGGAGGATGGATCGAGCACAGGAGGTTGAGCCCAGGTTGGGCTAAACTGCGTAAACCACCCCCAACCCCTGCCTCAAAAATATATATATATAAATATAAGACAAATAAGTTAAAGTATCCATGAAAATAGTCTTAAAAGCTCTAAAACAAAATAATAGCAATATGTGTGGCATGGTTGAGGACGCTTTTTATGTTCTTTAAGCTCATTTACTCTACTTTTTCTTCTTAGGTGTGTCTAATTATTCCACAGTGAGCACATGTTAATGAAAAAGGTTTAGTGTCTAAACGTAGAAATAGGAAATCCTCCGGAACTGAAAGAACAGGCTGGAGGGGACCGAACAGAGCCTGGCACGTGCTCCAGGAGCGCCTCGGGGGCTGAGCGCTGGTAGAGGCGGCCTCTGTCTCCCGATCACTCTGCAACACAACGGGATGCCCACCTAGCCTGAGGATGCCAAGTGGACACAGGAAGCCAGCGTGGCCACACAGCAATGAGGAAGCACAGGACCCCTCATCCCCTCCCAGGGGCTTCTTTCAACAAGTTACAAATACAAAGACAGGTAAGGAACTTGGAAAGGCGTTTCTGCTGGGAGGCTCTACCGTATTTGGTTCTCTGGCCTGAAACTGTCATAGAGAGAACTCGAAGGTGGCCCCTAAGATTCCCACCCGGCGCACACGCCCTGTAGACCACCTGCCTATGAGTGAACGTGATGGCATGTCACTCCCACAACCATGCCACATTTTACGGAACAAAGGATTGCGCAGCTGTGATTGAGGTTCCTGGTCAGTTGATTTTGATAAATCAAAAGGGAGATTATCCTGGGTGGGCCTGACTTAATCAGGTGAGCCCTTTAAAAGAAGGTGGAGTTCCAGAAACACCGTGCACCGCTGGCCTCAAGGAAAGGGGCCTCTGGTTGCCAAGAGTGGCCCTCAGCTGACAGCCAACAAGCAAACAGGAGATTTCAGTCCCACAGCCACAAAGAAATGCATTTTGTCAACAACCAGGGAGGCTGGAAGAGAACCCCCCTGCCTCAGATGAGGCTGCAGCAATGGCCAACATTGTGATGTCACCTGCTGCGGTATCAGTAGAAGATCTTGCTAACTTGTACTCCACAAAAAGCGAGATAATAAATCTGTGCTGTCTTAAGACACTAAGTGTGTGGTAATTTGTTACACACCAGTAAAATCTAAAACAATAGCCTTTCCAACTAAGAAAGTCATGTTTTAAGAAACAATTTTCATACAGATATATCTGTACTGTGTAAAGATTTCATATGTACAGAGATCTTAAGTGCGCATGGAATTGAATACACGTGTGTACCTATCATCCAGATCGAAAAGGAACATTTCCAGCATTACAAAAAATTCCTCATGTCCCTTGCAAGTCAGTACCTGCACCTCCTTCTCCCAAGTGACAGGATTTTTAACTTCTGTCACCATAGATTAGTTTGGCTCGTGTGTGAATGTCATATGTGGAATCAATAGAATGCAGATCGTTGGTGTCTGGCTGCATTTGCTCAACATTGATGACGGTGAAATCCGTCCATGCTGTTTGCAGCAGTAAGCTCATTATCAGTGTTATAATAATCCCATATAAGACTATATATATAATAAAAAAATAAAATAAAATAAGACTGTACACAATTTTATTTATCCAATGTGAAGATGGTGGGCATTTGGACTGTTTCCATAAGTGAGTTATTATGAATGAAGTTGCTAAGAACGTTTCTGCTCATGACTCATAAAGTCAATACATACTCTCAGTTTGTTGTCTGCTTTGTTGTTGTTGGGGCTTTTTGTTTGTTTTGTTTTGTTTTTGTTTGATTGGTTTTGGTACAGGGTCTTGCTCTGTCACCTAGGCTGGAGTGCAGTGGGGCGATCTCGGCTCACTGCAGCCTCGACCTCCTGGGCTCAGCTTCCTGAGTAGCTAGGACTATGGTCACACACCATCACGCCCGGCTAATGTTTACATCTTTTGTAGAGACAGGGTTTCGCCATGTTGCCCAGGCTGGGGTTTTTTGCTTGTTTTTCTTTAGGTTTTTATTTTATTTTATTTTTCATTGTATTTGTTTTTGATTTTTTGAAGTGAGAGTGTCGAAGTCTTCCCCTGCTCTGGAGTGCATTCCCCAAAGAGGGTGGCTTTATGACTGGCCTTCCTAAAGCAGATCCTGAGGCCTGGGCATTGAGAATCCTGTGTCAGGGCACTGGTGGAGCCGTTTCCCAGCCAGTGGCTTTGGCGGAGCGGATCCTGCCATGGTCCTGCCCTGTGGATTCGCCCCAACTCCCTGTTGGCCCAGAGCCCCTTCGCACGCTTCATAACTGAAGGAAAATATGTAAATACCCAGCGGCAAAGAGGTAGCGTGGCCGAGCGGTCTAAGGCGCTGGATTAAGGCTCCAGTCTCTTCGGGGGCGTGGGTTCGAATCCCACCGCTGCCAGTTTGTGGTAGTTTTGTCACTTTTGTCCCCTATGGGTTACAAAAGGAGTAATGGGCCCCACACATACTCGAGATGCGGGGTTCCATTTGGCAGCGTGCCGCTGTCCAGTGGATGAGCTCTGTGCCGAGCTTGTCCACAGCAAGTAAAACTGGATTGAGTTCACAGGTGCGGGTGGTTGGGAATGGAAAGCAAAAGCGTAGATGCCCTCTTCTCTTTGTGCCGCTGTGACCACCAGGTGGACATACTAGTGGGATCTTCTAGGTTAGTCTCCAGTGTAATAAGAGCGTGTAATGAGATAATAACCGCTTCGGGGCCGCGCGCGGTGGCTCACGCCTGTAATCCCAGCGCTTTGGGAGGCCGAGGTGGGCGGATCACCTGAGGTCCGGAGTTCGAGACCAGCCTGACCAACATGGAGAAACTCCGTCTCTACTAAAAATACAAAATTAGCCGGGCGTGGTGGCGCATGCCTGTAATCCCAGCTACTCCGGAGCCTGAGGCAGGAGAATGGCTTGAACCTGGGAGGCGGAGGTTGCTGTGAGCCGAGATCACTCCATTGCACTCCAGCCTGGGCAACAAGAGCGAAACCCCATCTCAAAAGAAAGGGGGGGGAAAAAAAAAAAAAACACTGTGGCATGTTTCCGCCCGGTTTCGAACCGGGGACCTTTCGCGTGTTAGGCGAACGTGATGACCACTACACTACGGAAACCCACACCTACCTCTGTCGCCATAATATTGTCTGCTAGCAGCTACTCTCCGGGTACGTTCGACAAGTGATCCCTAGCTGTAAAAGGAGAGCCCCCACAACCCTCAAGAGCATACTCTCACGTGCAGGTCTGTGCCCAAAGTCTTCACAGCAACTGTTGCTTCCGGGACGGCTCGCTTAGTCTCCTATCCACGATTCTTTCCAATCCCCAGCACTCCCGGAAATCTTGGTGATGCCTCCGCTGGACATCTTTCGGGATCAAAACTGTCAAGGTAACACAAAATTTAGTTGAAATTTAAAAAGCTGGCTCATCCAGGATTTGAACAAGAAGAACTTCAGTTGAAATGGAAAAAAAAAAATGAAAAAGTGGGCTCGTCCGGGATTTGAACCCGGGACCTCTCGCACCCAAAGCGAGAATCATACCCCTAGACCAACGAGCCGGCTGTCTAGTTGCTCGCTGAATCTTTTCATGATTGTGTTCTTCATGGCTCGATTCACCGAAAAGGCGGATTTCCGTCTGGCAGCTTGAACCCATTCTCAAGGTCTTATAGTCTCCCAAGCCCAACTTGTCCCCGCTGCCCATCTCCGCGTCTGCCACTAATTCTCAGCCGCAGGTAGCTCCACACAGGGTAAACGCTCCCTATGTCCTGTGTCCTCTGGTCTCCTGGAATCCGAATGAGCGCCTCCCTGCTCGATCCACTCGAGTAGCAGGCAGGAGCGTCCATCCGTTCTGCAGCCTGGGCGCCCCTTCCCAAGCGAGTCCAAGAAAGGCGCAAATCTTGAGGCCCAGGGGCAGGACACAGAGGTTGGTAGAGCCGGAGGGCTCGGGAGAGAGCGCAGTGCTGAGAGGGAAGGAACGCCGGACCGGCTGGGTGAGGAGCCCCCAGAAGCCGCTCTTACCGTTTTATGAAAAGATAATAAACAGTGCATACCCATTTGCAAAATCTTCAGGAAATGTAGGAAAGTGTAAGGCGGAAACGACCGATGACCAGGAACTCTGTCTTCTCGTGGAGACTCTAGCCACGGGGTTGTTGCACAGCTCGGAGGCTGGGACCCACGCGCGCGCGCTCCCGCGGTGCAGAGTCGGGGTCCTGGCTCACAGCCCTCGCAGCATTCTCCCGGGATTGCCCCCGGGCCGCCTCCAGCACAGGGCAAGCCTGAGGCTCGAGCTGGGCGGGCGCGCTCCTCTTTTCTCGCCTCAGACCTACTCTCGCCCTGCGCACTTTAATTGCACTGGTTTATTTAGTAGTAAAAATAGTGATGCGGTTTCCTGCTGTAAAATTCGCGATAATCTACTCAGAGCTGATGCACAGGTTTATTTTTGTGTCACCAGCAGAGACATTTCCTACACTGCTGTAAAACAGCGTGGGATGGTGGTTAAGCTACTCCGAGGAAACAATGCTCATTTTTCCATTCGCACGCTCGGCGATCTTGCTCCGCCGTCTGCGACCGCCACTGTCCTCGCCCCTCCTCTCTGCCTCTCCACGCTGGACTCCCCTGGGTGCCGTGGCTGGCTTTCGGCTCTTCCAGCAGTGAACATTTCAGGTGAACGGACCCGCCCCAAGGGTCCTCCCCACCCGGCATAGCTCTCCCTTGTCCCAAGCCTCGCACCCACGCCTCCCCCAGCAGCTGGACAGGAGCGCCAGCCTGGGAGACCTCCCGGCACCTCACCCAGATCCCACCTGATTCAGCCAGGTGACCCGTGAGTGTACGGGAGCGGCTGTAACGCCCAGACTCTGAGAGCCCCCGAGTGCGAGGCCTGAGGTTCATCCACCTGTCTCTTCGATGATTATGGGGACCGCCTGCCAACACCCCCACACACAAGCAGACGCACGCACCCTGGGAGTCCACGGCTTTCGTCGGGAGGGTATCTGTAGTTAAGCCGTCAGGTAGCTCGCCACTGGTCCCCGTGACCCGACTTCTACAGTGGGGTGATCTTCCTGTGGGGCAGGCGTTTCGGGGTCCACGAGTCCGAGGAGCCCCGGGAGCGCTAGTGCCCGAACGTGCTGGCAGGCTCCTGGCCTCTCCCGAGCGAATCCATCCCGGTCTTGACCCACGGTCTCGGCTCTTTGGACCGGAGCAGGCATGGGTGAGAGAGGGAAGCGCATACCTCCCGGCCGGAGCCGCAGACCCCGCTCGCTCCTCCACGCCTCCCAGTCAAGGCAGTCACCCCTCCGGTCTCTACCCAGGTGGCCCCGAGCGATTTTCTCTTCTCTGGTTCACCGGACAGGGATTCCGTTTTCGAACCTTGAGCTACCCTGGAGTGGTCCCGGTATAAGCCGCGGCCCCACCTGGGACGGGGACTCGCTCAGAGCTTTTTTGAGGTTCCCTCCGGCTGGAGAGAGGGCGCCTGCGACAGGGGAGTGTACGGCGGGACCCAGCGCCGCCTCCACCTGTGCCCAGGCCTCCAAAGTGCGCGGTGCGGGGAAGACGGAGGCGGGAGCCGTCCCGAGACCCCCAGGGGGCCAGTCCTGCACCTGGGCAGCGCCCCCACTGTTCACTGAGGACTTGGGCTCACTTTCTACACTTCCGTTAACAGCAAGAATAAATCAGTCAGAAGGCCAGCATACCTTAGTTATATATTTTGTCTAAAATAAACTAAAATTTTGTTTTAGGCTGAAAGCGAATGTGACAGGTAGAGCCGTTACTCCCGGGTCATGAATGTGGCCGTCTGCGCTTTTCCGTGTTAACTCCACAGGAAGAAATCAGACCTTGCAGCACGGAGGCGGCGGGGACCCGAAGGCCGAGGGCGCGCAGCCGCCAAGCGCAGAGCCGCAGACCAGAGCCTCAGCGCGCGCGTCGGGGAACGCCGCAAACAAACGCATGGCGGGAAGGGGCGCGGTAGTGCCATCGTCTCCCCCTGGAGAGAGGGAAGGAGACACGAGGGCGAGTCCCTAGCTGGAGTGGGAAGACCGGAGAGAAGCGGAAAGACGCTCCCGGGGAGCGCGCAGAAGGAAGTGAGCGGGGTCGTGGGGAGAGGGCGCGCGGGGCCCAGGGAACCCGTGATGGAAAAGGAAGCCCGCAGTGGGTCTGACTCTTCAAGAGATAAGGAAGTGGTAGGAAAGTAGCCTTGCGCGGTGGGTATCTTAGAGGCAAAAAGAAAGTGACTCCGCCAGGCTCTGGCCTCCCAGGAAGGCGGAAGTAGGCTTGCCTATCTTCCACTTTTCTATCTTTAAGGAAAGAATAGGAAAAGACGGAAGCAGGCCCCAGCGAGATTTGAACTCGCGACCCTGGTTTACAAGACCAGTGCTCTAACCCCTGAGCTATGGAGCCGGCTGTTGGTTTCCTTTTGACACAAAAGCAGTTGACGCTGTCGCCGGCGCCGCGCAGCCGCAGTCCGCTGAACCCTCGGCCGAGTTCTGTGGCTGCTGGACCCAAGCTCCTCCCACGGCCGCAGCCATCTTGCCCGTGCGTCCGTGGCACGGAACGGCCGTTAGTCCCGGCAGAGGGCTCCGCGAAGACAGTGCCGTCGTTGGGCGCGCGCGCGGGCGGGAGCTGTCGGGGCGGGGCGGCACCGCCGAGCTCCGAGCTGTGAGGACCGCCCCGGGCCTTGGGCGGGGCGGGGGCCAGGGAAGGGCGTGCGCAGGATTGGGGAGCACGTTTTGCGTCTTGCTGTGCGTGAGGAAGCGGGGATCCAGGTCAAGGCTATGGAAAGGTCAGGGAAGGGTGTCAGTGCGCCCGTCCTGCAGGGAGTCCAGATCCGAGAGGTTAGGGCGGGACCTGGGGCGAGCTGGGCGGTGGGGGAACAGTGGGGTCATCAGGAGGTGGAGGCCCAGCGGGAGTGTGGCGGGGGAGGCGGGGAATCAGGAGGGCCAGGTGTTTGGAGGCGCTGGGGTGGGAAGGGTCCAGGCGAGGTTGCGGGTGGGTGCCAGCCCCGTCTCACATTTGGATGAAGTAGGAAAAGGCAGCTTTTAGGGTACACCCTGACATGTTCTGTCAGGGCCCTTAAAGGGCCCACGGGCCGGAGGAGAGGGGAAAAGGATGAGGGCTCAGCCTGGCAAAGGACAGAAAGTGGTGGGTGTAGGAGGTGGACCTTGGTCTGGTGGCCTAGCCTGCCCTGTGCTCCCTGCAATGCCGGGTGACTTGGGTCACTGGGCGGCCAGGCCAGAGGTGGGCCTCTAGGTGCCCCCCATTCTGGATGCTGAGGGTCCCTGTGAGGGTCTGGCGGCAGAGGCCTGCGCTTATGGGTCAGCAGCTAGGACTGATGGGTTGAATAAGAAGGGCCCAAGTTAGGCCAGTTGTTCTCACAGACCCAGAGGTCCCTAGAGTTTATGATGCCCAGAGTCTAGGAGAGGGAAATGCACACACATGCCCTCGAGGACACCAGCATCCTGACATCCAAGTTACTGTACTGCCCTGGTTAGCAAGAAAGAACATCTGTTCCCTTCTCTATGCAATTGTTACAGTAACTGTTGTTACATTTCTTAAGATACATAGCTATATATGTAGTCACTCTGCAAACACACACACTCTGATAGACACACGATTGCACTCATGGACACAAAAACGGAAAATAAACATGCGGACAGCTACTCCCAGTCCCCAGACCTGACCCTCATGTGACACCTTCACCAGACATGGTACTTTCTGGGACCTGTAATGTGTGTTGTGATGCCCAGCACATTTGTTGGATGGTACAAAGGGAATTATGATACTTAATCAAAAAGCCATACAAGCCAGATAACATTAAGGCTTAACGGTAACAATAGGTGATTCAGTTAGGAAATTAATGTTAGAGATCGGTTTTCCTTGTGGAAATCAGTGGTATTCAAATGCCTGAATTGGCTACCCGGTTTTAGAGCTGCTCTCCATGTATGAGCAGGACATAGGATTCACTCTCTGGAATGCTTCTGTAGGCAGGACTTTGAAATGACCCTGTCCTCAGCCTGGAGGATGCGGTATTCTGATTGTCTGGTGCTGTGTCAACTGGGCCTGCCTCTGGGATAGTGTTGTGGCTGCCCCACGAGAACCCTATATGCCAGGTGAGCTTGAAGCACCTCAGAGACAGAGCACTGAAGCTCCATGACACAGGGCTATTCAGCTATCATTGCCCCTGTTTGCCAGCACCTCTGTCTAAATAACTTGTGTGGGACAGAATTAGGTCCGAGTCTGGTATTCTGTTCATCTAGCCTGGTAGCCAGGTAGTGAGAGAAGAAACCTGTGGCCCTTGTCTAAATATGAGGTGGTCAGTATTTAACAACAAATCAACAATAGGGTATGACCAGACTGACTTGGGTCTGTTTGCAACACCTGAACCTTATGCACATGCTCATAAATGCCCTCTCCAAAATACACACACACACCCCCAAGAAAGGTGAGATACAAATACACACTCCTCCCACACAGAAACATGCATGCTCATTCACTCTGGCAGAAACCCTGATCACACTTACGCTCCTGCACTCAGATCTAGGGAGTAGAAAATGGGCCAAGCCAACTCCAAAGACAGCTCATAGTTTCATTTTCATCTCCTCACCCCCTTCCCAGGGGAGCGCTGAGCAGGGAGTAGCCCACTGCCACCCTTCCAGAAGCCCAGCTACCCAGAAGCTGGAGAACAAGTAGACAAGGGGCTGAGGCTGGCCAGGGGAATGCCCTCCAGGGCATGGGCTGAGAAGGCCTTGGCACCAGGGTGCTCTGCTGTTGGCATTTTCCTGAGTCCGTCAGGAGCATATTTGTGCTCTGTGTGTTGTTTAGAGCTGGCTGCATCTTTAAAATTGTAAGTGCCAACTTGTGTTTTGTGTTTCAAAGTTCCAGAAGCAAAAACAAAAAAAGTTCGGGTACAGCGGCTCACACCTGTAATCCCAGCTCTTAGGGAGATGGAAACTGGAGGATCACTTGAGGCCAGGAGTTCAAGACCAGCCTGGGCAACATAGCAAGACCCAGTCTCTTAAAAGAAAATTAAAAAGAAAGAGTAAATAAAGTTCCAGAAGCTTTGCTCTCCTTATCCAAGCAGCGTTTGTACTTTGGCACTGGAAAGTGCGGGAGTCAGGGGTTTGTGAGAGCACGTGTTGGTTGTCGCATTGGTCAGGATGCACCCATCACTCTGTATCCTCCGGCTAAGGAGTGCTGGAGAGCCGTGATGCCCACTGGCTGTTGTCCCGGGCTTGTCACTCAAAGACGGGACAGATGTCTCCTTCCAGTTCTGGCCCAGACTGTCCTCTGAGCTGGGAGCACAGGGCTCCTCCCTGAGTAGATGACCTGTCAGGTCAGCTGGATCCAGAGGTCCCACAACCTCTCAAGGCAGAGCTGGCAGCTGTCCAGAAGGCAGCAGCCATGATAACAAACGTGGTTGGCCCAGGCCCAGACCTGCCCCCTGGCAACAGAGAACAGCAGGACTGGCTTTGACATTGTTTTAGGGAGCCAGGCACCCTTCCCAGTCAGGGCAGAAGCCCCCTGGAGAGCTGGGCTCCTGACCTCACCGGCCTCCACCTCCTGAAGGCTCTGGCCAAATCCACATGTGACCTCAGGAAGGGAACACCCTCAGGAGTCCAAAGCCCCTGTTCCCCTGCTCGGTTGGCCACAGTCACTCTCCTGCCTCGGGGTTGTGTCTGTAGCAGGCTCTCTTGGGCAGCAGGGGTCAGGAGCACGGAGGGCAGACCCAAGACGGACCAGGCATCTCTGGGGAGGCGACATCCCCTCCCACCGGCAGCCCAGAGACAGGAGCTCCCCAGCAGTGCCCCTCAAGGCCAGATTCGCAAGTAGGTGCCCGTGGAGCAAACAGAGAAAAGCGGGAACACGCGCTCCTGGAAGTTGACGCGGAAGGTGTAGAGGTGGCGCATGTCCTCCACAGCGTAGAAGGACACGGCTCCCACCTCCAGGTCCAGGGCCACCCGCACGCGCGACAGGTGCCCGCAGCTGAGGGGCGACCGCTCGGGGCTGGTCACGGCCCAGTACTGGCCGCCGTTGAGCTGCAGGGCCCAGACGCCCTCCTCGGGAGTGAAGGGCGTCAGGCCCTTTCGGCGCACGCTCTCGCGGGCCACGCCAAAGGCCCAGCCGTCCTTAGAGCCCACCTCCACCTCCCAGTGATGCCGGCCCGAGGAGAAGCCGCAGGACGCCAGGACGCGGGTGTTGGTGTCGAAGCGGCAGGGGTGGTTGGGCAGGTCCTGGGCCCGCTCGCCGAGGCGCACGCCCTTAAGATCCAGAGAGAGGATGAGGCGCGGGTTGGCCGTGTCGGGATCCAAGGTGAGCTCCACTGCAGACAGAGACAGGGAGAAATGTCCCCACGCAGCCAGGCCCCTGGCACAGTCTTTGCAGGGCCGCGCCCGACCTTGCTTTGCAACCTGCCTGCCTTTCCCTCTAGAATCCCCCCAGCACCCAGCGCCAAGGCCCAACCAACCCCCACGCTCTGCCTCCCAGAGATTTTGCTTCCCCCCGCCCCGACCACTCAACAAGTACTTACTGAAATCAAACAAATGCAATGTGTGGGCCTGGTTTGAACCCCAATTCAACAGATGGGGATATTTGAATGCTAGACATTGGAAAGAATCATTAATCTGTCCAGGTGTGAGGACTGCTTTGTGGTTATGTTTTACAAAGTCTGTTTCTTTAGAGATAACACACTGAGGTATTTATGGCAATGATATGTTGTCTCTGATGCTTTAAAATAATACAGTAGGCCAGGCGCAGTGGCTCACGCCAGTAATTCCAGCACTTTGGGAGGCCAAGGTGTGTGGATCACGAGGTCGGGAAATCAAGAACATCCTGGCTAACATGGTGAAACCCCGTCTCTACTAAAAATAAAAAAATAAAATAAATTAGCCGGGCGTGGTGGCGGGCGCCTGTAGTCCCAGCTACTCGGGAGGCTGAGGCAGGAGAATGGCATGAACCCGGGAGGTGGAGATTGCAGTGAGCTGAGATCACGCCACTGCACTCCAGCCTGGGCGACAGAGCAAGACTCTGTCTCAAAAATAAAAATAATAATAACAATAATACAGTGGAGGCCGGGTGAGATGGTGCACAGCTGCGATACCAGCACTTTGGGAGGCCAAGGCCAATGGGTCACATGAGGTCAGAAGTTTGGGACCAGCTTGGGCAACATGGCGGAAAACTTGTTTTGTATTTTCTCTACTAAAAATACAAAAATTAGCCCGGCATGGTGTCCTGTGCCTGTAATTCCAGCTGTTTGGGAGGCTGAGGCATGAGAATCGCTTGAACCCAGGAGGCAGAGGTTGCAGTGAGCAGAGATCAGGCCACTGTACTCCATGATCTCACTCCAGAGTAAGACCCTGTCTCAGAAAACAAAATAATCCCACAGGAAGTGGATAGCAGTGTCTATGAAAACTGTGGCCACTAATTGATCACTGCGGACGGTGAGAGATGGGTATGTAACATTCTTTACACTCTTCTCTCTACTTTTGAGTATGTTTGAAATTTTTCATAATAAAAAGTTAAGGCCAGGTGTAGAGGCTCATGCTTGTAATCCTAGCACTTTGGGAAGCAGAGGTGGGAAGACAGCTTGAGCCCAGGTGTTGGAGACCAGCCTGGGCAATATAGCGAGACATCCGTCTCCACAAAACATAGAAAATTTAGCCAGGCATGGTAGTGTGCTCCTGTAGTCCCAGCTACTCGAGGACGCCCAGGAGAGAGGATCGCTTGAGCTTGCGGGGTGGAGGCTGCAGTTCCACTGCACTCCACCCTGGGCAACAAAGCGATACCTTGTCTCCAAAAAAAAAAAAAAAAGTTAAAATATGTACACTTACTGTGAGCACTACTACGATTGAGGCCCTGGGGGTACCACAGAGTATCAGAGTAGTCCTGCCTGCCTGCAGCTTCCTTCCCACAGGGAGAGGATTGAGGATAGATTATAAACAGAAGATGAGAGGGACCAGAAGAGCAGGCTGTAACTTCAACCAGAGTGGCCAGGGAAGACCCTCACTGAAAAGGGGCATCGAGCAGACAGATATAAAGAAGGCAAAGAAGCAGGCCACAGGACTGGCTGGGGAAAGCATGCTCCAGGTAGGGGCCTGGGGTGGGGGAGCCTGGCAGTGCAAAGGCCCCGGGATGGGTGTGTGCTTGGTACACTGAAGGAACAGCAGGGAGGATGTGTAGCTGCGTGGAGTAGAAGGGGTGTGCAGTGAGGCTAGAGCCCGTGGGCCCTTGAGACCTCCATGGGGACTCTGACCTTTACCAAGTCAGAGGGGCTGTGGCAGGGCTCTGAGCAGAGGAGGGCCTGGTCTCACTCAGGTGTTTTAGGTGGCACCCAGACACACTCTGACTTAGCTCAGACATCAGCATCAGGAATATGTGCCCTCCCCTCCCCTCCTCTGGGTGTTGGATGCCACACATTCCAGAGCTTTGCAAGAGTAAAAACGATATTCCTTCCAGTCTTTAGCTTCCCCTTGCTTTCCTGGTCCCCTGTATACACCCCATTCCCAGGAGAGGTTTCCATCCATCTTGGAGTGGGGACCGGGTAGAGGCTCACCCAGGTGGCCGAGAAGCCTTTCCCAGTCTGAGTATCTCGAGGTACAGGGCATTCCTGCTCCTAACCAACCTGCAGCATTTGGGCCAACATCTGAGGGTGTCAGAGCTCCCAGGATGGGGAGGGGGTGGTGTGGGGGAGGGGACAGAGGAACAGGGTTGCTGAGGTGGGTGGGCTGAAGGAACCGACCATATGCAAAACCCTGAGATGGTCACGAGCAGGGAGTAGGATCTCTGTGTGGCAGACAGTCCATACTCGCCATCACAGCACCATCCCTACCTTTCTCCTCTTTCTCCAGCTCTCCCCGAAGGTCCTCTGAGGAGGAGAAACAAAGCAAGGCGTGCATGAGCGACACGGGAGATTATATGGCAAGGTCACCAGCTCTTTATATCCCAACTGACTCATTCATTCCCCAGAGACTCCTAAGGCCAAGAGTGAACGTGCAGGCACAGGGCCAAGCATGGGGAGCGGGGGGCAGGGGGCCCATACCCAAGCATTCTAGCTCTACCCAAGTGGCTCTGAGCTGAGCTCCCCTGCACAGCTCTCTTCCTAACCCCAGTCCCCCAGCAGTACCCCTCTACCCCATCTGTGCCCATGAGAAGCGGCATGCCCTGCGGGGGCCTGACTAGATTTGCCACCACAGCCCCTACACCAATCTGGCCATGGCACAGCCAGCTCCTATTTTCACACACAGCTTCTGGAAAGCACACCCAGGGACCCCTGAGCTACCAGGAACCCTCCACCACCACCGCACTATGTGGCCCAGCTTGGCGCCCAGGCCCCTACCTTTGAACTTCTTCAGCATCCCTTTTAAGACAAAGGTCTTGAGAGAAACATTCCAGACTTTATTCTTCATCTCAGAAGAGACTGTGGTTGGCTTGGGGCCAGGCACATTGCTACACCTGCAGGACAAGGGCTCTGAGAAGGGCCTGTGTGCACCATTTTGCTCCCACAGGCTGTGACAATTAGGATGGCGAGGTCCTCTTGGCAGAAAGAGGTAGAAAAGGGAGAGCCAGACCTCATGCAGAAAAACCCATGGCCAGGCAGGTGGGCGTTTGTCTCGGAAGGTCCCCAGGCAAGCAAGTCGGGGGATCAGGAGGTGAGAGGTCAGGGGACAGGGAATAAAGACAAGGCTCAGTGAAAAGGGAAGAAGCAACTTAGAGAGGCCCCAGGAGCTGTGAGGTCACTCACCTGCTCAGCGTGCTTTTGAATTCCTGGAAGGAAAGATAGAGGAAACCAAATCAGCATCAGGTAACCTCCATTCACCTCTGAGAAACAAAGCTTGCCCCTTGCTGTGCCTCCCAGATGTAAGCATAAGCAAGTGTGCCACGCCTCACTGCCTGCGTGGGCCTCAGGGGCAGCAGCTTCCAGTGGCTGCTGGCTGCAGGGTGTCTCACCCACGCAGTGGACCTCTCACCCTTTGCCACAACTCTTCACGTGCTTTCTTTCTATCTTTGCTGCTTTCTTAGTTACAGAATCATCACTGGAGCTATCCCATGGGACCCAGTGCTGCGTGTGTCCTGGAAACCACCTGAGGGAGGTCACAGCCCTTATGCACCTACTGCTCACTCAGCCCCATAATGACTGTTCTTAACCCATCTATGGATTGTGAAGTTTATCTAGTTGTTTATAACTTTTTTTTTAGCGAAATAGAATAGAAAACATCAAAGTGCATACGTGTAGCAAAGGTGAGTATTATTTTCTGAGACTTTTGTCTCAAGCTTGTGATTCTGAAATACGATATATATTATTGTGGCTCATAGTCAAGAAAGTTTTCACATCTCTCTAGACCTCCAACCCCAGGAAAATCAGGGCACTTCTCTCCAGTCCCCTTCAGCTCCAGATCATGTGATTCTCCTAGACCCCCCAGGACTGACACTGTTCTCTAGCTGCTGGTCCTGATGCCTTAGGATAAATGACTCGAGCCCCTGGCTGAGCCAGACTTACCTGGAGAAAGTCAAGGTCAGGCTTTTGAGCTGTCTCCTGGATCTGGCTGCTGAGCTTGGACAGCTGGGTGATCTCAACCCCGAGCTGGGCCAGGTTCTCATTCTGCTTCTGTGCCACCTCCCGGGACAGTTCCTCCAGGCGGCCTAGCAGCCGACCCTCCTGCTCCACCAGGAAAGCCCTCAGTGCCTGGAACTCTGCCCCCACCTTCTCCTGCTCCGCTGCCATCTGTTTCTGTCCCAGGAGGAGAAGTTGGAGAGGGACTTGAACATGGAGACATAACATTTGGCCAGTGGCCTGAGTCATCCCACAGGGCAAGGCTTCGTCCCTGTCACTGCTGGAGGATCGGAGACACACCCACCTACGCACGCAGTGCGTGCTCTATTGTCAGTGTCCCAGCTCTGAACAAGCTGTAGTCTGGACACATGCTCTTTTCTCCCCTGCCACAGATGCACCCACACATGTCTGTGGACCTGTGCTCCATCACCTAAACCAAGGCAGCTTCATACTCCCCCCAGAACTACGCCAAGCTGCAGCTTCCTCACTTGAAAAGCAGAAGGGATAAATTAGTGCCTCCTGGGGCAACCATAGGATTAAACTGAGATTGCTTTTTCTTCCTCAAGCACATTTATTTCATCACCCTCAAACTTTTACACTTCACTTTCTTTTTAAAGGCCATCTTTCCTGTTTAGCAGTTATAATGCTAACACATGCTCAAAATACAAAACTTGGGAGATGTAGGAAAGTAGAAAGAAGGAAGAAAAGTCCGATGCCAGTGACCAGAGGTAGCAGCACACCCCCAAGGAACGAAGTGAGAATATGCGGCATGCAAGTGTCATATTCTGTTCTTTCCATTAACAGCATACACCGGATTTTTTACTCGAGTTTTCAGATGCAGACTCATGCCCTGATCTCTTGATTTTTTATGTGAACACACGTTTGGCACTCAATATGTCCCACCAGGAAGTTCCTCTTCCTTAAAACTCCTGGGCGGAGGAAGGGAGTCCTGTGAAGTTGGGAGACCTGGGTTCAAGGTGTCCTACAATGCCCCCACCTTTCCTTCAGCTTCCAGGCAGGCTGCAGTAGCCTGGAGCGCCTTATGGATATTAACTCCCTCAACCCTGACGGCAGCCCAGTGGGGAGGGTGCACTTCCCTTCAAGTCTTACAGGTGAGGAGACAAAAGACAGACACATCACCAGGAAGTGTTAAGCCAGGCTTCTCGGCCAGTTGCCTCACAAGGAGGTAGCACAAGTGAAACAGTATTTGCCAAAATACTCTAAGCCAGGGTTTCCCAACCTTAACACAGTTGACATTTTGGGCCAGATACTTCTTGGTTGTAGGGGGCTGCCCTGTGCCTTGTAGGACATTTAGCCGCCCCTCTGGCCTCTACCACGAAATGCCAATAGCATCCCTATCCCATTGTTGACAACCAAAAATATAGTATCTCCAGACTTTGCCAGATGTCCCCTGGGGTAGGAGCATTTTCAAATAAGAGCATTCCTTCTCCCTTTTGTGTTGCAGCAATAGTTGGGCTCTACCTCTGATGTTTCATTAAGCAGGGTATTGTAAATGAGACAAGTGTCATAAATCCAGAAGTATTTTATTGCTGCAAAGAACAGGTAGAGCTCACACCTGTCATCTCAGCACTTTGGGAGGCTGAGGGGGGCAAAGTCAGGGGAGAAGGTTGCTTGAGCCCACGAGTTCCAGACCAGCCTGGGCAACACAGGAGACTACCCCCAACCCCAGCTCTACAAAAAATAAATTAAAAATTAGCCGGGTGTAGTAGTGCACACCTGTAGTCCCAGCTACTCAGGAGGCTGAAGTGGGGGGATCGCTTGAACGACTCCAGCCTTTGTGACAAAGTGAGACTCTGTCTAAAAGCAAAGCAAAACAAAACAACAACAAAAACGAATGTGGGGGTGGATGGATGGATGTTGGGAGAGGACAGAGGTGGAAGGTGTTAAGCAAGGCCTGGGGACTCCGGTCAGAGACTGTGAAGCTGCCGCCGGTGCCAGGGAAGGCCCTCTGGTTCCTGGATGTCAACCAGTGGGGGAAGAGCTGCATTGGGAGTCATTTCTCCAGTGGAGGAGGGATGAAGGTCTAGAGGGTGAGCTCTTCCTCATGGAGGAAAGTGAGTGATGAGGTAGGAAGGTCTGGGATGCACACTGGGTGCAGGCATAACAGATATAGTTGAGGGTCTGGAAAGGACCCTAGGGTGTCTGAACTCCAGGCTCCTCCTCCACCCCTCCTGACATTGAGGATGGGAGGGTCCTCTAGTTCACCTTCCTTCAATTCCCTGCCTTGACAGGTCCTAGTAGATCCTTTCATTCTTTTTTTTTTTTTTTTTTGAGATGGAGTTTCACTCTCGTTGCCCAGGCTGGAGTGCAGTGGCATGATCTTGGCTGACCGCAACCTCTACCTCCCGGGTTCAAGTGATTCTCCTGCCTCAGCCTCCCGAGTAGCTGGGATTACAGGCATGTGCCACCACGGCAGGCTAATTTTGTATTTTAAGTAGAGATGGGGTTGCTCCATGTTGGTCAGGCTGGTCTGGAATTCCCAACCTCAGGTGATCCGCCCACCTCGACCTCCCAAAGTGCTGGGATTACGGGCGTAAGCCACCGCACCCAGCCAATCCTTTTATTCTTTCAACACCTATTTACTGAGCTAGGAACTGAATTTGCAAGGTAGAAAATGACCGATGGTGATTCATGTTTGCTTATCTTTTTTTTTTTTTTTAAGGTGGAGTCTCGCTCTGTCTCCCAGGCTGGAGTGCAGTGGCGCGATCTCGGCTCACTGCAAGCTCTGCCTCCCGGGTTCACACCATTCTCCTGCCTCAGCCTCCGGAGTAGCTGGGACTACAGGCGCCCGCCACCACGCCCGGCTATTTTGTATTTTTAGTAGAGACAGGGGTTTCACCGTGTTTGCCAGGACGGTCTTGATCTCCTGACCTCGTGATCCGCCCACCTCGGCCTCCCAAAGTGCTGGGATTACAGGCGTGAGCCACCCTGCCAGGCCTCATGTTTGCTTATCTTAACCAAAATGAGCCCTCGTTTCACTTTCCTGTTCTACCCTAAGGAAGATAAAATATCATTCCAACTTGGGGTAGAGGCAGGTGCCAGTACCCAAGACCCTGGGCTGTGCAGCAGGGGCTACTGTAAACCCAAGACCCTAAACTTCCTCCCTCTGCCAGAGCCAGGGAGCAGCTCTGACGCCCTCTAGCCCCTTCTCCGTTAGCCTCGATTTCAAATAAAAACACTGTGAACATGAAATTTTTTTCACTACTGTTTTGTTGACAAAACATGCCATGAGGCTCTTTATTGTATTAATATTCCCACTTATTGAATATCCATGTTTCTCTGCAGAAATAGTAATGTGTTCCATTACAAGATGCTTCCGCAGGCCCTAACTGGTATGTTACGTAATATCAGAGTGACTGAGCGTCCTGATTCGCTGGGACAGCTCCAGTTTAAGCCAGTTGTTTTGCAATAATTATTTTAGCACTGCTTTTCACTTTAAAAAGCTCTGGTTTGTACAACAATTATGTGGACACCCTATATAATATGGACTCTATTATCTTTCTGAAATCGATTCTGCGGTTCCATAGCACACACTCCAACACCACACACACCGAGCCCTGGTGCTGAGTTCTCAGGCCTCTGTAATGTCCCACGGGGGGCCTGCGGGTGCCTGGCTCACCAGCAGCTCCTTGCTCTCCTTCTTTTCCGTGGACCGGAACACCTCACAGTCCTCCAGTTCCTTCTTCAAGACCCTCAGCCTGGACTCCAAGAGCTCCTGTAGATGAAGGGAAACAATGTAAGGTGGGGGTGAGGGGCTTCTGGAAACCCCCACCTCTGCCTTCCTGGAGCCAGCCAGGAGAAAGGGAAGGCCCTGCTCACTGAGGGGGAGGCCGGGTAGAAGTCATCTCTACAGGCTACAGGTTACACTGCGAGGTGACTCTGAAGGTCTCGGGATCTTGCTTCCCCAAAAGCATCTGCTGGACCAGCCAGACTGAAACACAAGCTCCGGCAGCCCTACCCCTAGTCGTCTCCTCTACTCTCCGCCCCCCCACCAGGAAGCCCCGTGGCTGGGAGAGTTGGAGCAGGATGGGCCAGCAAGGAGAGACTGGGGACTGCCGCCCGAGCCTCCCCGCCCCGCCCTCACCCCTGCACACACCCTCGCTGAGGCTCAGCGAGAAAATAGCAAAGAAAGGGCCCCCAGAATCGACAGCGTTGGCACAGTCAGACGGCTCTAGGTGCGCGGCTTAACCCGGGAGCCCCCTCCCTGGACATCTTGGCGAGGTCCTCTCACTCAGTTCCACGAGGTGGGGACTTTGAGCAGAGCCCGCTTCGGGGAAAGAGATAAGAGTGGGGGCAGCGGCTGCGTGGCTGTGCCGGAGACTTCCCGCGGGCAGAGAGCTGCGGAGACGCAGACCAGGCTAGAGGCTCCGAACAGACAGGAAGAACATCGCCAAGTCCGTGGGGGACGTCGCGCAGGCGGCCCAGTATCTGGCCCAGAGGGAAACGCAGTGGGGGTGGGGTGGGGGTATTGGTGATGTTGGGGGTGACAGAGAACCGCGCTCAGCCCGGGAACCAGCGCTGGGCTTCCTGGAATGGAGAAAGAAGGGAGGGGCTCACCCGGGCCTCCTGATCGACAGGCTGTTCTCTGCACCCCGTGCGCGGGAGCGCGGGACCAAGTCAGGGGGTCCCGGGGACCCACGGGGTGGGTGGGGGCTGCGCTCACCTTGGCCTCCTGCACCGCCTCGTCCAGCGGCAGCACGGCGTGCTCGCGGTGCTCGCGGGCGCGGTCGCACACCACGCAGATGGCGCGTCCGTCGTCCTGGCAGTAGAGCTTGAAGGGTTCGCCATGCTGCCCGCAGCGGGCAGCCGCTGCCCGGGCCGCGGCCGCCTGAGACCCGTGCTCTCCCGGGGCAGCCGCGGGCAGGCTGAAGCGCCGCAGGAGCGTGGCCACTGCCGCCAGCTGCCGGTTGGGCCGCAGCTGACTGGGGCGCGCGGGCTCGCGGCACTGCGGACAGGGCAGTGGGAAGGGGGGCGCGCGGGTGGCGGCCCCAACAGACCCCGCGCCCGGGCGCTCCCAGCAGCGCCCTATGCAGGCGCGGCAGAAGCTGTGGCCGCACTCGACGGACACCGGCTCACGAAAGAGCTCTAGGCAGATGGAGCACGTCGCCTCGCCCTGCAGCTCTGCCGCCAGCGCTAGAGCCTCGGCGCCGGTTCCGGGGCCGGTCCGCGGTCCCACAGCCGCCATGCGCGCTCTCCGCGCACCCAGATCTGGTCGCGCCTGGGCGGCCACTGGACCTCACAGGACGCGGAGCTGGGCGCCGAGGGCCCACTGGGAGAGGAAGGGCGGGGCTGCCACTGGGCAGGCAGAGACTCGAGCCCGGGGCGCGCCCGGCTGGGAGCCGGGAGGGGAGGCGCACGTTGACTACGGGCCATTCAAGTGCGGGACAGCGCCCTGCGCCCCGGATCTGCGCTCCACCAGCCCCCGCCCTGGCCAGCGGCCTCTCCCCCTCGCCCCCGTCCCTCAGACTCTCCAGGCCGCCCCAGCCTGACCCAGTCAGCCGCGGGAAACGGGCCGCGACAGGTGGGCGCACAAATGCTGCCAGCGCCACTCCCGGTTTCCGACCGAGGCCGACCCAGCATCGCCGGGGCAAGGGCCTGGCGCTCGGGCCACGGTGTCAGGTTCCGCCAGCGCAGGTTCGCCCCGGCCCTGTGCTGAGTTAAATTTAGAGACTGGAACCTGGTCCTGTCCCCTCACGCGCAAGCGTGGCCTTGTATCCATTCCATTACCTTTTCTGCGACTGTCCTCCGGCTTCTTTACTCTTTACTTAGTATTTGAACAGATAACACATTTATAATTTCCCATTGTATTCAGTATTATTCCCCCCCCACCGCACACACACACACACACACACACACACACACAAACCTCAGCGCTCTCTTGTCCCCCAGCTGTCTCCACAGCCCCGCAGCAGAGCTGCCTGTGTTATCCGCTTCCACACCCTCTCTCCTCGCTCACTCTGGAGGCCACTTGGATCAAGCTT
Source organism: Homo sapiens (assembly GCF_000001405.40). Taxonomy (NCBI): domain Eukaryota; kingdom Metazoa; phylum Chordata; class Mammalia; order Primates; family Hominidae; genus Homo; species Homo sapiens. The sequence continues at coordinate 181,205,907 of NC_000005.10, forward strand.
TCGCCCGCACCCTCCTCAGAAACCGCCCTTGCCAATGTCACCGGGAACTTCAGCAATTCTCACCCAAAGGCGAAGACCTCGCCTCACCTCATCTGCCCCCGGATGCTCCCTCCTTCCCGACTTCCCTTCTCAGGGCCTTCCAGGACCCAGTGTCCCCGATCTTCTTGCTGTTCCTGAACCCCGTGGCCTCTGCGCTGGCTGTTCCCCTTGCGTGGACCTCTTTTCTCCCACCACCTGCATGCTCCCTCCCACCTCATTCAGGTCTTGTTTCAAACGTCTCTGCCCACGAAGCCCGCCCCGAACGCGCACACTGTGTAAAGTCGTCTCTTAGCGCGCTCCCTTCTCAGGGCCGGCTCTGTGCCCGCACTCTATCTCCTCTGGAATGTCAGCTTTCAGATGGACTGTACTAGGTTTGTTCACGGCTGAATCCTGTTTTTAGAGCAGTTCTTGGCAAGCTCAGTAAGGTTTTCTTGGATTAAACTTGGTTCGAAATTCAAAAGAGGAGCCGCAGTTCACGGTGGAAAGTAGGCCCATCGCCTGTGTCCCAGTCCTTTCTTCCTCCCGAGCAATCAACTTTACAATTCTGGATTACGTTAATCAAATATTCCGTATTTTATTGCCTCAACCCCCACTTTTAAAAAACAAAACGTAGCATCCTGCACAATTTTCCTTTCTTCTCTTTTTCAGGTCACAGTTCATTTTTGGCATCGTGCCTGATGATTGTCTCTCCTTTTTCCACAGCTGCTCCCAGGTGCTTAGCCGGGCCTAATCCTCTCTCTTGGAATCCCTTGGTCAAGACCCGCTGGTTTGGAGTCAGCGGAGGACGCTGGAACAACTCTTGCCCTGCGATGCCGGGTTTTTGCAGCGGCTGAGACCCAGCGCGTACCGGTTGCCTTCCACTCCCGGTGTCCTGAGTTAAGCGACCAATAGGGACCATCTGGGAGAGCTGCTGAGAGTAGGTGGGGATGTAGCTCAGTGGTAGAGCGCATGCTTTGCATGTATGAGGCCCCGGGTTCGATCCCCGGCATCTCCAGTGTAGTTTTGCACATTCAATTATTGTTTTCGATTTTCCTTTCAAATTTTGAAATCCAGCATGTTTGAAGAGCTCCAAGAAAAAACCCAGAGGGTGGAGTCTGCGGAGTAGAAAAAGACCGCGGCGGCCCCTGCCCTCCTCTGGGCCCCATTGTCTTTCCCTCCTGTTTTAAAATCCACACGGTACTTGACCGGGTGAGGTAGCTCACGTCTGTAATCCCAGCACTTTGGGAGGCCGAGGCGGGTGGATCACGAGGTCAGGAGTTTGAGGCCAGCCTGACTAACATGGAGAAGCCCCGTCTCTACTAAAAATACAAAAATTAGCCGGGAGTGGTGGCACACGCCTGTAATCCCAGCTACTCAGGAGGCTGAGGCAGGAGAAGTGCTTGAATCCAGGAGGCAGAGGTTGCAGTGAACCGAGATTGCGCCACGACACTCCAGCCTGGGCGACAGAGCCGCAGTTCGTGGTGAAAGGTAGGCCCATTTTTTGAGAGTCTTCTCTGTCAAAAAAAAAAAAAAAAAAAAAATCCACACGGTGAGAGCTCCAGTGGCGTCAGGGTGCACGTTTCTCCATCTCCGTGCCGTGAGCTTCATCGCGGGTAGAAAATGGCTTGGTCGCTGGTAGGGTAGAAGGGGCAGGAAACGGACGTAAGTGGGAGGGACGGTCAGGCACTGACGGCAGAGTTTGAATTTCCCAGGAGCCGAGGCACTTTAGTAGTTTTATCACACTCCAAATAAATCCAAGTTCAAACCCGCAGTTGAATACACTCCGACTCTGATCTAGAATGAAAAATTGTTGAGATACGGTCATCGGGCGCCCGGCTAGCTCAGTCGGTAGAGCATGAGACTCTTAATCTCAGGGTCGTGGGTTCGAGCCCCACGTTGGGCGGCAACTGGTCGTTTTAGTCCTAAATCTACGACTACTAGCCATACCTAAAAATATATTATAAGTAGACCAGCTCTTAGGAAAATAATCTGCTCTGAAGTCTTGCATTTCTGTGTGTGTAATACTCTTGCGGGCGCTCCACTGTTCATTATCTACCCATTATCTTGCGATACAATTAGGATTTAAAGCTGTGGTAAAATATGCCCAACAAAATTTAACACTTTTTAACTGTACAGTTCTGTAGCATTAAATACATTTAAATGGTTGTGCATCAGTCTCCAGTCCTTTTTCCTGTTTCCCAGATGAAACTCTGAACCCATTCAGCATTAACTCTCCATTCCCCTCTGCCCACAGACGCTGGCAACCACCATTCTACTTTCTGTGTCTTTGAATTTGACTCCTCTAGATACCTCATATAAGATGAATCGTGCAATATTTCCTTTTTAAATTGTCTTATTTCACTTAATGTCTTCAAGATTCATCCTTATATTTCCTTTTTAAATTGTCTTATTTCACTTAATGTCTTCAAGATTCATCCTTATTGTAGCATGTGTCAAAATTTCCTTCCTTTTAAAGCTGATTAGCATTCCATTGCACATATATACCACATTATCCATTCATCTGCCAATGGACACTTGGTTCCTTCCTCCTTTTGGCTACCGTGGATAATGCAGCTATGAACATGAGTGTACAGATATCTGTTTGAGTTTAGGCTTTCTATTTTTTTAGAGTATACATCACAAAGTGAAATTACTAGGTCATACGGCATTTCTGTTTTTGCGGAAGTGTCATACCATTTTCCACAGAGGCTACATCACAAATGAGCTTTAAAAAACATCTTTCGACCTGGCGCGGTGGCTCACGCCTGTAATCCCAGCACTTTGGGAGGCCGAGGCGGGCGGATCACGAGGTCATGAGATCGAGACCATCCTGGCTAACACGGTGAAACCCCGTTTCTACTGAAAAAAAAATACAAAAAATTAGCCGGGGGTGGCGGGCGCCTATAGTCCCAGCTACTCAGGAGGCTGAGGCAGGAGAATGGCGTGAACCCGGGAGGCGGAACTTGCAGTGAGCCAAGATCGCACCACTGCACTCCAGCCTGGGCGACAGAGAGAGACTCCGTCTCAAAAATTAAATTAAATTTAAAAAAAACATCTTTCGGCCGGGCCCAGTGGCTCACGCCTGTAATCTCAGCACTTTGGGAGGCCGAGGCGGGTGGATCGCCTGAGGTCAGGAGTTCGAGATTAGCCTGACCAATATGGTGAAACCCTGTCTCTACTAAAAATACAAACATTAGCCGGGCGTGGTGGCACGCGCCTGTAATCCCGGCTACTCGGGAGGCGGAGGTTGCAGTGAGACGCGATTGCGTCACTGCACTCCAGCCTGGGCGACAGAGCAAGATTCCGTCTAAAAAAAAAAAATTAAAAAATACAAACGGGCCTTGTGGTGGACGCCTATAATCGCAGCTACTCGGGAGTCTGAGGCAGGAGAATCACTTGAACCCAGGAGGCAGAGGTTGTAGTGAGCTGAGATGGCGCCACTGCACTCCAGCCTGGCGGACAGAGCGAGATTCCGTCTCAAAAAAAAAAAAAAGCCGGGCGCGGTGGCTCACGCCTGTAATCCCAGCACTTTGGGAGGCTGAGGCGGGTGGATCACGAGGTCAGGAAATCGAGACCATCCTGGCTAACACAGTGAAACCCCGTCTCTACTAAAAACACACAAAAATATAGCCGGGCGTGGTGGCGGGCGCCTGTAGTCCCAGCTACTCGGGAGGCTGAGGCAGGAGAATGGCGTGAACCCGGGAGGCGGAGCTTGCAGTGAGCAGAGATGGCGCCACTGCACTCCAGCCTGGGAGACAGAGCGAGACTCCGTCTCAACAACAACAAAAAAACCCAAAAACAAAAATCTTTCGGCTGAGCGCGGTGGCTCATGCCTGTAAATCCCAGCACTTTTAGGAGGATTGCTTGAGGCCAAGGGTTCGGGAGCAACCTAGCCAGACCCTCATCTTTAAAATAAAAATTAAAGAACATTAAAATATAAAACAGAATTCAGTGAAAAGTGTTTAACTCCCCCTTAAAATTTCAATTTTATATTTTTGTACATATTCTTCCAGAAATTTTGATGCAAGTAGTTTTTTTTGGGGGGGGGGCTGGGTAAGGAGGGGGAACAGAGTCTCTTGATCTGTCGCCCAGACTGGAGTGCAGTGGCGAGATCTTGACTCACTGCAACCTCCACCTCCCGGGTTGAAGCGATTCTCTGCCTCAGCCTCCCGAGTAGCTGGGACTATAGGTGCCTGCCACCACGCCTGGCTAATTGTATTTTTAGTAGAGACAGGGTTTCACCATTTTGTCCAGGCTGGTCTCGAACTCCTGAACTCAGGTGATCCGCCCGCCTCGTCCCCTTAAAGTGCTGGGATTACAGGCGTGAGCCACAGCGCTCGGCCTTTTTGTTTATTTTGTTTTTTGACAGAGCCTGTTGCCCAGGTTGGAGTGCAGTGGTGCAATCTCAGCTTGCTGTGACCTCTGCCTCCCGGGTTAAAGCGATTCTCCTGCCTCAGCCTCCTGAGTAGCTGGAACTACTGGCGTGCGCCACCACACCCAGTTAATTTTTTCTATTTTTAGTAGAAACCAGGTTTTGCCCTTTTGATCAGGCTGGTCTTGAACTCTTGGTCTCAAATGATTGCCTGCCTCAGCCTCCCAAAGTGCTGGGATTACAGGTGTGAGTCACTGTGCCTGGCTGATACAAGCGGAGTTTTATTTTCCTGTATTTTATACAAAATTTTGTATTTTATGATTGTGCTATATTTTGAAGATTTTTTTTTTTTTAAGTAGGAGTTTCGCTCTTGTTGCCCAGGCTGGAGTGCAATGGCACAATCTTGGCTCATCGCAACCTCCGCCTCCCAGGTTCAAGTGATTCTCCTGCCTCAGCCTCCCTCGTAGCTGGGTAGCTGGGATTACAGGCATTTGCCACCACGCCCAGCTAATTTTGTATTTTTAGTAGAGACGGGGTTTCTCCGTGTTGGTTAGGCTGGTCTCGAACTCCCGACCTCAGGTCATCCGCCAGCCTCCGCGTCCCAAAGAGCTGGGATTACAGGCATGAGCCACTGCGCCCGGCCTATTTTGAAGACCTTTCTATTTCAAGACATAGAACATATCCTCGATCTTTTTTTACAGCTGCTCAATATTCCGCTGTCGATGAATCATCTTTTATTTAACAGATCACTTAATGGATGGGCATTTACATTGTTTCCAATTTTTTTGTTGTTACGATCAATGCTACAGTTAAGCATGTAGCAATTGTCATTTTGCACTTTTGCACTTTTTTATCTGTGGAGGTAATTGCCAGAAATGAGATTTGTTGCATCCAGGTTTATATGCAAGTAATTTTGTAAAAATAGATAAATTGCCCTACTGTAGAACCTACAGTCTGATATTACCTCCCACTAGCCATGAATGAGATTGCCTATTTCTCCAAGGTCTTGGGGGAAACGGGCTGCCTGGACAACAAATTTAAGCGTGTGACTCCCCCACTTAAAATTGCTGGAGTCCCTCACTGCCTGCCTGCAGGATAATACCCACTGGAGGGCGTGCAGGGTGCCACCTGGAGGGGAGAAGGACCCTCCCCGCCCCTTTACATCACACAGGAATGTACTCAGATAAAAGATTTTGAAGAGTACAGTGTCACTTTCATTTGCGGTTCTTAATCCAATTCTATATGGCAGCGTCGTTTTTTCTCTTTTCAAGCCTGTTTCTGAAGAAGCTATCATGTTCTCTTCACTTGCAAAGCCAGGACACCATTAGAAAGGCCTGCTCTGTTATTTCTTACTCTGCACATCTTCTTCCTTGGACAGGAAGAATCCAACCAGACATAAGAAATAAAATTTATATGTCATTTTCCATTTGATCTTGGTGTCCTTTGGGGCATGTATAAATTATTAGAGCACAGATGCGTTTGGTGAAGTGGTCTACAAGAATGATTACATATAATTTATATGTAAATTATTAATCAACCATTTCTGAATGTTTTCATTTAAAAGCCTCATTTGAAGCAGAAAATTATCTTCAGGTTTAGTATATTCATGGCTGTTATCTAATCTAACTAGTCTAAAAATATTCCAGTATCTCTTTCTTTACCAATCACTGGTTTCTCTTTACTGAACTTGAGGAAGTCTTTCTTCTAGGATCTCTGTGGTAGCATCAGGGAAGATGGCTCAGCTGCCATCAAATGCTCACTTCACTGTTTCGTTGCTGTTTATATCATATCACATTGGATTAAAGGTGCGAGTCCCTCAGGTAAAAGGCAGGCCTCAGTCACATGCTGGTGTTCTGGAGAATGTGAGTTTTGAGCAAGAAGGAAGCTGAAGTGTCAACTAGGGCAACCTAACTCTGGAGGACTGCTTGCAATAGGAAGAGTGGCCAAAAAGATGACCCAGAATGGCCCGCTCTTCCATTCTGTGTTGGGACCAACTGGAGTAGAGCCATAGGATATTCTGGGAAACGTCCCTGCTTATCACTGTCATTTGAGATGTATAATATCTAAGGGTGCGGGGCGGGGGGCGCTTCTGAATATAGAAAAGAATACATGCTTGCTTTGTGATTAATATTCAATTTATTAGAGTTGCAAATGTTAAGGCCTAGTTTTTCTGAAGGCTTTAAATTCAGCTTACAGATATTGCTGTTTTTCTATGAAGCTATCATTTTTTGAAACAGCCAGAACAATCCCTTTCGTTAGTTCCCTCATTAACTTTCCTTAGTTAATGGTTCCGTCATTAACTAAGGCTATCAAACGGAGGCATTCCGAACGGCTAAGCAATTGGTAATCTTTTCTTATATATTTCAAATTACAATTATGAATTTTATGCTTATGAACCCTCATTGGCTGGACAAGGAGACAGGAGACTGAGACATTAGGTCACAGCTGGCAGTGGAGAGCTGGTATCCGAATTTCATCTGCTCTTACAGACTCCCTGCTTTAACCCCTAACCCATAGCACTTTCAGAAATCCTGGGAGTATTGTTCATTTGAAATCTTCTGAATAAAGCTATGTACTAATTTGTCTGTCTTTCACAGTCCTGCACTGAGGCCTTACTGTGTGCCTCATTAGCCTGGAAGTCCAGTAAGATAGCAGATCCAATGTCTTCCACTCATTTTTCAATCTGTTTGCAAAACAAAAACAGCAACTGGTGTGGATGGAGTCATGAGAATGCATATCCAAGGAAGTAGACCTGTGGCTCCTTACCTCCCCACACCCAAGGTCTTCCTTCTTGAGCACACCAGTCTCATTCCTACTTCATAGTATGTGACCTTCCTCTGCTTCCTCTCTCCCAAGAACCTGTTCTCCAGATCTTTGGAAGGCTGCCTCTCTCTTTTCCTGGCTCAGCTCAGTGTCACCTGTTCTGCCACCTCATTCCTGGCCCCTCTCTATAATGCCGTCTTCTGTTTACCTGCCACTCTGCCACGTTGCCCTCTTTAATTTTGTCACAGTCCTTACTCTCTGAGGTGGTTTCTGTATCTGCCTGTTGTTTGTTATTTAAATCACCTGTCAGAAAGTGAACTCCAGGCGGGCAGGGACCTGATCTATCCCTTTTTACGGCAATATAAATGAATAAATAAATGAGATGTCATTTTAACAGTGCACACCACAGGTTGGTTTCGAGGATGCAATGAATCAATGCGAGTCTAGCACATAGGACAATGCCTAGAACGGTGGTGTGTGCCTTTAATCCCAGGAGGGCTGAGGCAGGAGGATTGGATTTCTTAAGCCCAAGAATTCAAGGTCAGCCCTAGCAACATAGGGAGCCTCTAGACTCATCAAAGAAAATGTAAAAAAAATAAATAAAAGGACAGTGCCTAATCCCTAATAAGGGTTCAATTAATGAGATTTGTAGCTGTTAGTATGATTCCCTAAACTTCAAAAGGTTATAGAGTATCAGAACAGCCACAGTGAAAGGGAGACGGTCAGTGATGAGACTACAGAAGAGAAGTCCATGAAATTTATGAGGATTAGAAAGAAAAGAGCCAGTGGGTTGGAGATGGACGGAGACGGATAAAACAGGAATAGTGGGAGAGTGAGAGTTGTTGAAGCTGGGAGATGTGTATTTGGACTTTCATTACACCTTTCTGTCTAAATTTTGAGACAAGGTCATGCTCTGCTGCCCAGGCTGGAGTGCAGTGGTGCTATCTTGGCTCACTGCAACCTCCTCCTCCCAAACTGAAGCCATCCTCCTACCTCAGCCTCCTGAATAGCTGGAACTACAGGCGCCGGGCTAATTTTTCTAGAAAATATTCTGTATTTTCTACTTTAAAATAGAAAAAAAGAGAGAAAATAATTTTGTACTTTTTGTTTTCTCATGTTGCCCAGGCTGGTCTCAAACTCCTAGGCTCAAGCAACCCACTCACCTTGGCCTCCCAAAATGCTGGGATTATAGGTGAGAGCCACCATATCTGGCCTACAATTGCTTTTGAGTGAGAGGTTAAAAATCTAAGTAGATAATTTGGTAGGGAAATGATGTTGGAGTTTATTTGAAAAAAAAAAAAAAAAAAAAAAAAAAAGGCCGGGCGCGGTGACTCACGACTGTAATCCCAGCACTTTGGGCGGCCAGGTGGGTGGATCACCAGGTCAGGAGTTGGAGACCAGCCTGGCCAATATGGTGAAACCCCATCCCTGCTAAACAAAAATTAGCTGGGTGTGGTGGCGCGTGCCTGTAGTCCTAGATGCGCGGGAGGCTGAGGCAGGAGAATCTCTTGAACCCAGGAGGCGGAGCTTGCAGTGAGCCAAGACTGTGCCACTGCACTCCAGCCTGGGCAACAGAGCAAAACTCTGTCTCAAAACAAAACAAAACAAAAAAGCAAAGATCTAGCAAAGCTGCAAGTCAGTAGAACCCCGGATGTGAGTTCGCCTCCTTCAAACTATTTCTCTAGGGCACCTGCAAGTGAGGGAGCCAGGAGTTTTGACTCCATGCACTGTCCTGGCACCCGGAGTGGGCTCTTTTATTCTTCACTGAAAAAAACCCCCTCAAACTTCCTGAATATTCTCCTGCATCATAGGGTAGAGGAATTTTAGACAGGCCAAAGCAGAATTTGGAAACAGGGGTGCTTTCAAATACTCAGGACAATGCTGAAAAGACAAAGAGCCATGGCAAAGGGGCGCCCACCAACAAGCAGCTGCAATTCAAGCATCAAAAAGAGAGTAATAGCACTGAGTTCCAGTTAACTGAAACAAGATGAGTTAAGGAAAGCTGTAAATCCATAATGACAAAGTGGCATTGTGTAACCTAAAGCCAGCCACGGTGGCTGAGACCTGTAGCCCAATCAACTTTGGGAAGCCTCTAGGAGGATCCTTTGAGGCCACCATCCACTCCATGTTTCTAAAATATATATATGTATTTTTATATAAAATATATAGCATATATAATATATAATAAAAATATATAATATATTATAATTTATATAATATATAAATATAATATAAATATTATAATATTATATATAATATAATATAAATATTATAATATTATATATAATATAATATAAATATTATAATATTATATATAATATAATATAAATATTATAATACTATATATAATATAATATAAATAGTATAATATTATATATAATATAATATAAATTGTATATATAATATAACATAATATAAATATTATAATATTTATATAATATAATATAATATAAATATTATAATATTATATATAATATAATATAAATATAAAATATATTTGTTATCTATATAATTTAATATATTATATAAAATAGAATATATTCATTATTTATATAATAAATATAGAATATATTCATTATTTATATAATAAATATAGAATATATTCATTATTTATATAATAAATATAGAATATATTCATTATTTATATAATAAATATAGAATATATTCATTATTTATATAATAAATTCATTATTTATATAATAAATATATAATGTATGTGTTATTTATGTAATAGATTTATTATTTGTGCAATAAATATATAATATATAAATATATAATATATTTTATAAATATATATAATATATAAATATATAATATATTTTATAAATATATATAATATATATTTAGAGATGTGGAGGGGGCGGTGGTCTCAAAGGGTCCTCCCGGAGGATCCTCCCGAAACTCCGTCTCCAACAAACAAACAAATATATATACATTTGAGACGGAGCGGAGTTTCGCTCTTGTCGCCCAGGCTGGAGTGCAATGGCGCCATCTCGGCTCGCTACAACCTCTGCCTCCGAGGTTCAAGCTATTCTCGTGCCCCAGCCTCCCAAGTAGCTGGGATTACAGGCGTGTGCCACCGCGCCCAGCTAATTTTGTATTTTTGGTAAGATGGGGTTCACCACGTTGGTCAGGCTGGTCTCGAACGCCTGACCTCAGGTGATCCACCCACCTCGGCCTCCCAAAGTGCTGGAATTACAGGCGTGAGCCACCGCGCCCGGCCCGTTCCTAAAATGTAATTCGAAATAGGACTCCAAAGAGACTGTTTCCTGTACATCTTGTTGCCCTGCCCAGCTAGCTGGCTGACGTTGACTGTGTTGCTTTGAATTTGCTTCACTGTCTCCACAAGGAAGACCAATGCGAACTGTCTTACGTTAGCTGAGGCACAGAGCAAAATATACTTAGAGAAGAGTGACAAAGGACTGAGTGATGGTCCTGGCCTCCCAGAGTCCCAGTGGCCAAGGAGGTCAGCTTAGAGGGATGCAGAAGGCACTCCGTCAGCAAAGTACAGACTCACTTCAAACCAGTCAGTTAAACACGACAGGAGGAGTGCGAGGGGGGGTCGGCGGGGAAGGGGTGAGGAGAAGTTGGGCCGGGGAGAATTTTCTGGGAGAACTCTCCTGCATGGGGTCTGTGAGTTCCAGGCTGACTACCGGACTTCCTGATGCGTAAATTCTGGGACGGTATAAAATTACAATTAAGTGTGAAAGAGCGGTGTTGAAGAAATAGGCATGACATTGATATTTTCTGTGAACGTTATGCTAACGCTGTCCCAACAAGTTTCCCACCACGGGACTCTGCTTTGATTACGCTTTGTCTGCATTTAAAATGTATGAAACGTTAAAGAGAATTTTGGTTTTTGCCACTTTTCCTTTTTTTTTTTTTAACGGGCTCGGTGCCCAGGCTGGAGTGCAGTGGCGCGATCATGGCTCGCTGCAGCCTCGACCTAGGGTAGTAACTGGAACTGCAGGTATGCACCACCACGCTCGGCTAATTAAAAAAATATATATATTTTTTCCTAGAGATGGGGCGGGGGGCGGGGGCGGGGGCGGAGGGGACAGTCTCACTATGTTGCCTAGGCTGGTCTCGAACTCTTAAGCCCGGTTTCCGAGTCGCTGGGGCTACAGTAGCGCGCTGACACGCCCGACCCTTGCTTTGCCACTTAGATGTTGCATTTATTCGACTTTCACGTCGGGCAGAGGTGCTGGGAAAGAGGCGGCTGGCCCCTGCGTAAGTGTGCGGGTGCGGTGTGAGAAAGCTGGAAGCCTGTTTTCTAGGCGGGGAAGCAGCCTGCGCTGCCGGGGCCGCATCATGGCACGTGGGTTTCCCCGGGCTTACTCTCCTGCCAGTAGCGCTGTCCTAGGGATCCCGCCCACCCCTCCGGCTTCTTCTCTGAAGCCTTTGCAGCATTTTCCCTGAGATTGCTGAAGAGGCCCCTGGGGATCGGGCTCCCAACTCACCCGCCGCGTCCCACGGCCCGAAGCCGACGAGCTGCAAGTGAGGATGGGTGCAGAGGGAGGCCGACGGTCACGCCTTGGAGAGGCTGATGGTCCTCTTGACCGCCCTCCACCGCCACTGCGAACCCAAAAGCCGTGTCAGTGCTGCAGGCCCGCCCGAAGTGGCGCAGTCCTCCTCCTGAACCAGCCTGTATTTCACTTGAATTTCTCTGTGCCCTGTTTCTTTTCCGTTCCCTGTCCTTTTGCTCCGTCCTACGTGTTCCGCAGCCTTGTGTGACCTGTCCATGCCTCAGTGGCCTCATCTGTAAACAACCTCCCAGAATGGTTAGGTTCCTCTGCAGGAAGCCCAGGGCCACACCTGCAGACTACTTGATGTGTGGTACACGTTGTAGTTACCGGCATCACTATTGGCCCGCCGGTGCACACCTTCCACGGCGTGAACTTCCACCAAGGATTTCCAACCCGAGCCTTCTTGCACTTTTTAATCGTTCATCTGTCATTCCGTGGCATTCCCCGGCGGCTGACTGTATTTGATCCGCCGGGACTTTGCAGGAAGACCCTAATAATGACCAGTAAGACCACTTACTTCTCACCCTCATATTACAGACGTAGACATGGAATACGCAGGTTGAAGTTAATTGGCAATGGATTGGAAAATCCGGCCGGTGTCTAAGTGTAGCAAAACTTGTGAACGTTTATACACATAGACTCCACACTAAGAAACCTTTTTGAACTGGAAGGAAAACACAGTCTTGTTTCCGCCCGGTTTCGAACCGGGGACCTTTCGCGTGTTAGGCGAACGTGATAACCACTACACTACGGAAACAGATGCGGAGAGGTTACTCTATGACTTTTATAAGTGTTATAGTCAACATCCAGGTGTCGGCTTCACCCATGGAGTCATGGCCCTTAGATCCATTCTTCCCCAGAACACCAGTCTCCTTGTGGCCCTGCGTAATGCCGTTTGTCAAACTGTAAAGCGTGACCTCTAAGGGTACCCCAGTCACTTCCAGCAATTAAAAGCAAAACAAGGCCGGGCGCGGTGGTTCACGCCTGTAATCCCAGCACTTTGGGAGGCCGAGGCTGGCGGATCACGAGGTCAGGAGATCGAGACCATCCTGGCTAAAATGGTGAAACCCCCGTCTCTACTAAAAATACAAAAAAATTATCCGGGCGTGGTGGCGGCCGCCTGTAGTCCACTCGGGAGGCTGAGGCAGGAGAATGGCGTGAACCCGGCATGCGGAGCTTGCAGTGAGCCGAGATCGCGCCACTGCACTCCAGCCTGGGCGACACAGCGAGACTCCGTCTCGAATAATAATAATAAATAAAAACAAAACAAAAAACTAGCGAGCATCGCGGGAGGAAAGGCAAATGTACCTTCCAAGGCTTAAGACTGGATACGCTTCCCTAGTGGTTCCTTTTCTTCCAGGGAAGACAGCCAGAGGTTTCAATTTTCACATGATTTGTGCTCTACGGACAGTAATGACAGAGAGGATTCAAAAAATGCAAAATGCATTTAAAGCACACGATATTTAAATATATTTTGTTAAAATGTAAATTAAAGTAAACATAAAAATCAAAAAGTGAAATTATTCTTATGTCCTTTCAAAAATTTATTTCTATGAATTATGCATAAGTATTAAACTAAACGGCAAAATATAAATTAATGAATATCAAAATTTTAAGTCGGTTTTTAAAGATAAATCTGAAATTTTTTTTACATTTTAAAAGTTCAATGAAAAATTTTAAGTATTTTTATAAAAATAAAACTCGCCAATCCTAGCATCCAAGGTATGTACGTATGTAGAGTTGGAATACGCTTAACGCCTGTCATATGGAGATCTGCATATATGTAAATTTAAAAGTAGTAGCGATTGCTTAATATTGTGAAATGTTTTTCCGCCGCCGACGCCTAATTTCCGAATACCTGGATTGCTTGGAAGCGAGGCGCAGTCCTGCTGATCAGGGATCCTTGCTGCCTCTGTGACCCCGAAGGCCCGCTCCTTTCGGCGCAGGGCGGGAGCCCTTCTTGTGTGCGTCTGATTCTCTGGTCAAGGTCACCACGGGCCTCCAGGTGGCCCAATCCATGGACGCCTTCTCTTACGAGACCATGTGCTGAACTGGACGCTGCCAATCTCCTTTGCACTGTGCGGCACCCTAGGCCTGGGTGGGCGCTTCGCTGCAGGCTTTTCTCCCATCCCGTCTCCGCCTCCGAGCGCCCAAGGCTGACCCTGGAGCGTCACGTCGGCTGGCAGCAGGACCCACACCTTAGCTCCGTCTCTGGTTCCAGCAAGAACTGTTCTCCCAAGCTTCAGATCCACGCGTGTCTTGGGCAGTTTTTCCAGGTATCTCACAGCATCTAACGCCCAACCGTTCGAGACCTAAGTCATTGTTTTTTTCTTCCCTCCCCTCCCGCATCCTCAGCCTGTGATCTAGGTTGTGGAACTACCCAAATCTATCGCCGCTGCAAGCCTTGCATCCCGCTCCTTCACCTGCGTCTCCCTCTGGCTGCCGCCTCACCCGGCGCCGGCCGCCTCCTGTATGGACCAGGCCTGTGTCCTTCCAGCCCCTGTCTCCGACAGTCTTACTCCCCCTCATACTCCCTGTTTGCATCACTCCTGAAGGAACCCCCTGAAATATAAATCAGAGTGAGTCCCTCAGTCTCCCCAGGCCCCATCACCACAGGGTTTGGGAGGAGGCCAAAGATCCCACCAGGTTCATGTGTGTGTCGTGCTTCTCCGACTGTTGAACGCTTGCCGCCTTTGTGCCCGGAGCAGCTTGGGTCACTTGCCTGGAGGGGCATCCCAAACCTGACCTGGCCAGAGCGGCGACGGGTGGAAGGGGTGGAGAGGAGAGAAAGCAGGAATTGTAGCAAAAAGCTCCAGCGGGCGTTCCCTTGGCTTGCTAGAGGACAAAGAAGAGAAGCCTGTCCACTTCATCTCCACTTTAATGAAAAAGCCAGAATCCTTTAAGAATGTTTTCCAGTCCCAGTGAAGGTGGTAAAAAATAACCCTGAAATCACAGTCTGCAAAAGAATCCGAAATAATTTGTGCAAGACGAAATGTCAAACTTAAAACTCTTTGAACACCAGCTTTGAACACCAGTAACTCATGTGCTAGGATTGTACTAGCGACTCTGCCTATTTACAAACGTTGACCAACTTCTGCCCAGACCGCCCTCACAGACTATATAGCCCTCATAAGTCCCCGCTTTGATTTACGTCTGAGACAGAAGACGATGCTATCTTTTGCTCAGCGAGATTAAGCCAGCTTTCTATGATCAACAGACTTCTCTCGTGGTGTGGTGCGTATGCGGAGGAGACTTCGACAGCTTAAAAATACAAAACGGGGCCAGGCGCGGTGGCTCACGCCTGTCATCCCAGCACTTTGGGAGGCTGAGGCAGGAGGATCACGAGGTCAGGAGATCGAGACCGTCCTGCCAACATGGTGAAACCCCGTTTCTACTAAATACAAAAAATTAGCCGGGCGTGGTGGCGCGCCTGTAGTCTCAGCTATTCGGGAGGCTGAGGCAGGGGAATCACTTGAACCCGGGAGGCGGAGGTCGTAGTGAGCCGAGGTGGTGCCACTGCACTTCAGCCTGGAAACAGAGCAAGACTCCATCTTAAAAAAAAAAAAAAAAAAAGAAAGAAAGAAAGAGAAGAAAAAAAGAAAAAAGGCCTATATTTGCAGGACTAATTTCGAGGCCATCCTGGGCTCAAGCGATCCTCCCGCCTTGGCTTACCCAAAGTATTGGGATTACAGGCATAAGCCACCGCGGCGCATGGCCCGTTTTTATCTCTATTTATGTATGGGGGAAACGTGGAGGCTGGTATTTGTGGGGCAACATCTCACAAAAATAGACTCTTAAAGTCAAGAGCATAAAAAAGAATATACGGAAGACAAGTGTCTCATATGACACAAAGCATCTTTCTTGACAGGGAGTCGAAAGCAGGTCGTAGCGAGACAAAGGCGGAAGCCTAACCACTAAATCTCCCAGTAAAGTGGGAGTGAATCAGATAGGTTTTGACGCTCACGAACGCCTGGGGTCGTCCTGCGGTCTCACCCCAGTTTCGATAAACCACATTGTTCCCTCCAGCACAGCAAGTCTCACAGCAAGACGGGGGCAGGCCGTCTGGTAAACATAAAATGCCTAATATGTGCTGCCCGTGGGCGAGTGGCCTACAGCAAAGGGTCATGCATGCACGATAGCCCGCGGTGCTGGCCTGCAGGAATTGGTCCACAGGTACCCGCCTCTCATTCTTTCTTTGAGAGTTAGCGAGGGTGCAAACGTTGTGAGAATTCTGCTCGGGGCCTTCCACACACGGATCGGAGAACACCAGGTTAGTCCAAGTTCTAACACCCACTGTTGGTGAATCTGCTACCCACTAGGTCTTGGTACAGAGAATACCATTTGTGCACTTAGGTAACACAACTTGCCTTAACCTTTCCAAAAAGCGAAATTACGCCCAACGTGGGGCTCGAACCCACGACCCTGAGATTAAGAGTCTCATGCTCTACCGACTGAGCTAGCCGGGCGGCCATGTCTGTATTCTAACTTTGTCTCTGAAGATGGAGGTTACCCTCAGAGGTGTAAGCACGTTTCCACTGTGCAAATACTAAGAAGCGCCTGCGCCTGGCTCTGTTCTAGGCACTAGAGCCGAGGATCTGAAATCTACGGATTCCTGTACATGTGATGGCTGCATAGGCTTCAGAAGGGAAGAGCAAGAGATTAGGTGAGGGGCGAGACCTGAATTTACTTGAGTAGTGCTCTCCTTCAGTTTTGCCCCAGTCCGTGTTCCTCCGAAGCGCAGGGACACACATGTCCTTCCTGCCACGTAAGGCCGGCCTCGGGAGAGAATCTCCCGAACAGACCAAAACGTGTTTCCGCCCGGTTTCGAACCGGGGACCTTTCGCGTGTGAGGCGAACGTGATAACCACTACACTACGGAAACCACCTTGGCTACTTTCCTGCCGGCATCGTCCTGAAGACACACACGGCTGAGACGGCCGGGATAGCTCTAGGCAAGCGCCCTTGTAGGACAGGCCCGGGGACCCCTGCCGCGGCCGGCTGAGCGGTGTCCAGGTTCTGGAGCCGGACTTGTCCACCGCAGCCGAGTCCGCAGGTCCTGTAATGGCCTAGCATAGTTCACCCACGAGGGTTCGTGGTTTTTGGCGCGTTTGATCTGACATACTCAGAGGCCTGACCACCCCCCTAGGAAGCGCGACGTCCATCTGGAGTTTTCCCGCGAGCCGCCTTGAGAGCAGGGTAAGTTCTGCAGGCCCAGCCCTGGCGTCACGCTGTGTCTGGCACTCACTGGAGATTCTGTACATAAATCATGGCCCCGTCATTTTTCTCGCATCAAACAACATTTATTTATTTATGTATCGACATCAAATCTCTATAAAAATAAAATTTAAAGAGCTATTTAAGCATCAAGTATTATTTCTACCGCACAAAGCATCTATTTTTGCAGAGATGCTGTGAGAATGTAGATGTAATGATTCGTCACCACTTCTTCACTGCTGGGCAGTTAGGGAAGTTCATCTAAACCATGAGACAGTGTCCGGTTGGCAGTTTCTACCTCGGATGCGAAACGCCGACTACAGTTGGGGAAGGGTGGGGCGTCTGCTGCCCTAACCCGCGAAGCGCTTTCTCAGGCCCCGCCCCCGGTCCGACCCGGACGACCCTCTGAGTCCTCCACAACGAAGTCGTCTGCCTAGAAGGGCCGGAAGTACTTCAGGGCGCGCCGCGGACCCACCCCCTCGCTTCCGGCATCGGCTGTGGGGAGTACCGGCTGCAGTCGGCTGTGCCGGGAGGGTAGGATGGCGTCTGGCCGATGCGGTGATAGCACCGAAAGCAGACGGCCGCCAGGCGCTCCCCCTACCCCCCGAAGTTTCTCCCCAGCGGCGGGGGATGGGGGTAGGCGGTTCCTCTGTTCTTTCTGCGTTCCCCGCGGCCTCTTACCACAGAGACGCGGGCCTCCACCGTCCTAGCCCTCCCGCCCTGTTCTCTAGTGCGGACTAGAGCGTCTCCTCGCCATTTCCTGTCGCCCTGGGGCCCCGCGGGGAAAAAGGGGGAGTAGCAGGACAGCGGAGGGAAGTCGCGAGCTTAGGTGGTGTGTAGACGCCGGAAGTGTTGGGAAGGAGGCCGGAAGCTAGGGGCGGGGCCAGGAAGTGAGGAGGGGCGGGGGTTTATGAGGAGTCCAAGGGAGCATTGGGGCAGACTTGTACTCAGAGCCACCTGAGGGACTTGGCGGTGGCGCCCAGCACTGTCCCCTCCCCTCGTAGAGACACGGTTGTCGTTTGGGAGTAGGGAACACTGTGTTGGGGTGGGTTGTCGGCAGGACATCTCTCTGGCTGCTCTTGGGGCGAGGTGTGGAGGGGCAGGGCTGGGGGTGGAGCCGGGTCGCCAGGGCGTCGGTAGGGAAGACCCCCGCCCCTCGCCCCCCCACCGAACCTCTACACTGGCTGGCTGGACACTAAGATGGCTGCCGTTGCCATGACACCCAACCCTGTGCAGACCCTTCAGGAGGAGGCGGTGTGCGCCATCTGCCTCGATTACTTCACGGACCCCGTGTCCATCGGCTGCGGGCACAACTTCTGCCGAGTTTGTGTAACCCAGTTGTGGGGTGGGGAGGATGAGGAGGACAGAGATGAGTTAGATCGGGAGGAGGAGGAGGAGGACGGAGAGGAGGAGGAAGTGGAGGCTGTGGGGGCTGGCGCGGGGTGGGACACCCCCATGCGGGATGAAGACTACGAGGGTGACATGGAGGAGGAGGTCGAGGAGGAAGAAGAGGGTGTGTTCTGGACCAGTGGCATGAGCAGGTCCAGCTGGGACAACATGGACTATGTGTGGGAGGAGGAGGACGAGGAGGAAGACCTGGACTACTACTTGGGGGACATGGAGGAGGAGGACCTGAGGGGGGAGGATGAGGAGGACGAGGAGGAAGTGCTGGAGGAGGTTGAGGAAGAGGATCTAGACCCCGTCACCCCACTGCCCCCGCCTCCAGCCCCTCGGAGGTGCTTCACATGCCCTCAGTGCCGAAAGAGCTTTCCTCGGCGGAGCTTCCGCCCCAACCTGCAGCTGGCCAATATGGTCCAGGTGATTCGGCAGATGCACCCAACCCCTGGTCGAGGGAGCCGCGTGACCGATCAGGGCATCTGTCCCAAACACCAAGAAGCCCTGAAGCTCTTCTGCGAGGTAGACGAAGAGGCCATCTGTGTGGTGTGCCGAGAATCCAGGAGCCACAAACAGCACAGCGTGGTGCCATTGGAGGAGGTGGTGCAGGAGTACAAGGTGAGAGAAGTACAGAGAGAAGATGGGAGTTTAGTGGGGGGATGGAGAGGAAGTAAGGGGACCTGGGAAAAGGAAACATCTCTTCACCCACCAAAGAACCTCATGGTATTGGTGAGCCAAGTTTGCTTATCTAAGCACTTACTGCCACCAAGGTGGATTAGAATGAGAAGGATTCTGTACACAGAGCAGATGCAGTGAAGACGACCAGGGAAGGATGGCTTCCTCAAAGCAAATAGAGCAAAGCCGGTGATGCCAGATCAGGTCTCTAGGGCTTTACCAGAAGTCTCGTTTTCTTTCGGGTGAGTCTTAAGTCTGTCCTTGACGGAGACACCTAGAGATGGAAAGAACTGGGGGCTTCAAAGGACAAGAAAAGGCTCAGAAGCAGGAACACAGAGATAACTGCTAGTGTCAGTGTCAGACCCAAATGCTCTGCACTTGCCTCCCAGTGGGTTCCCCACCTACCACGATATGGCTTGGTTCTGTCTTCAAGGACTTTGGTTGGCTCTGTGTCATTCTTATGCACTGACTAGAAAGCAGGAGCTTTTCAGTCAGAAGACCTGGCTCTGCAAGTTGCATTGTCAAATCTTGATTAAGTCTGTGAGTGTCTTTGGACTTTAATTTGTCCAGGATTGATAGTTAATATTCACTGGACATTTATATGTATACCAGGCACTGTACTAGGCACTTTTCATGGACTGTCTCGTTAAAACCCAGACAACACTGAGTTTGATATGTTTTCCATTCCCATTTTATAGATTGGGAAACAAAGTCAGAGAGGCTTTAAGTACCATACAGAGGGCCACAGAGCTTCAGTAATAATTGACTTAGTTATTTACTGTCCCTTCCCCTGGTGTATACTAACAACGCCACCACCATTTGGATGTCTGTTGTTTGACTTTTCTGATGTGACTTTCTTGGAGTCTGATTCTAGTTTGACAAATACCTTGCCCCTACTTCTCATTTTGACTCTTCTTTGGACATAGGTAAAGGAGATTTGTTTGCAAGGCAGCCAGCACAAATAGCACTACTTAGTGAAGGCCTGGATGGGTTTGAAGCAGTGGGACCAGGAGGAGGAGGGGGTAGCCTCTGTGTGGTCTGCACAGAGCTTTTTTTGTTTTATAACTCATGTTTTCAGACCTTCTCCTGATTCCTGCTATAACTTCATTTAGGTATTATTTTCGTTACCCCAATTTTAGAGTAATGTGTCTAGGGTTTCTCAGCTCTGAGTGGTACAGCTAGACATACCTACATTACCTCATCACAAGTAACAATTTCTTTTACAGAGTGGCCTTTTTTTTTTTTAATTTTTTGAGACGGAGTCTCACTCTATTGCCCAGGCTGAAGTGCAGTAGCATGATCTCGGCTCACTGCAGCCTTCACCTCCCGGGTTCAAGTGATTCTCCTGCTTCAGCCTCCTGAGTATCTGGGATTACAGGCACTCGCCACCACAGCTGGCTGATTTTTGTATTTTTAGTAGAGATGGGGTTTCACCGTGTTGGCCAGGCTGTTCTGAAATTCCTGACCTCAGGTGATCCGCCTGTTTTGGCCTCCCAAAGTGCTGGGATTACAGACATGAGCCACTGTGCCTGGCTACACAAAGATTGTTAAACCTGCCTGATTGTTGGAATTACTAGGGGAGGTTTTCAAAAATACAGTGGATCCTACCACTAGAGTTTCTGAATCAGTGAGTAGGAGAATATCTTTAAAAAGCCCAGTCTAGCATGGGGATCACTGCATTGGTAACATTGCCTAGCTGTTAGTCCCTGCATTTTTAGCAGAGATTGTGAGGTCCTGTTGTCCTTTCCATCTCCTCAGTTCCTAGTTAACCATACCCATCATATCATGTGTGGTCACTTTGTGAACAGGAACCCAGGCCAAACTATCCATGGGCATTCCACCCTTTCTCTTTCACCTCCCCCTGTAGGACTGCTCCAAGGAGCTTCTGAAACTGGATTTTAATTTGCATTAGCCAAATTTGTTCAATGCCAGCTGCCTGAAATCCCGTATTAGGTCCTGAAGTAGGTGAGGAATTAAAAAAAGTCATAATCTCTTTTCTTTTCCCCCCTTTTTTTTTTTTTGAGACAGAATTTCACTCTTGTTGCCCAGGCTGGAGTGCAATGGCACAATCTTGGCTCACCGCAACCTCTGCCTCGGATTCAAGCGATTCTCCTGCCTCAGCCTCCCGAGTAGCTGGGATTACAGGCATGTGCCACCACACCTGGCTAATTTTTTGTATTTTTAGTAGAGACGGGATTTCTCCATGTTGGTCAGACTGATCTCGAACGCCTGACCTCAGGTGATCCGCCCAACTTGGCCTCCCAAAGTGCTAGGATTGCAGGCGTGAACCACTGCGCCTGGCCATACTCTCTTTTCTTGATCTGTTTACTGCGCTCTGCAGTTTGGGAGGCCATATACACATATTTAATCTGACATTAAGTGATGAGTAAATGTAAATACATAGTTTTATTGTATAGGACTAATTTGAGTGATTCCCTTTCTGACTTAATAGGCTATTTTACAAGTGGGTCATTTATTTTTTTATTTTTATTTTTTTTGAGATGGAGTCTCGCTCTGTCGCCCAGGCTGGAGTCCAGTGGCGTGTTCTCGGCTCACTGCAAGCTCCGCATCCCAGGTTCACGCCATTCTCCTGCCTCAGCCTCCCAGGTAGCTGGGACTACAGGCGACTGCCACCACGCCTGGCTAATTTTTTTGTATTTTTAGTAGAGACAGGATTTCACCATGTTAGCCAGGATGGTATCGATCTCCTGACCTTCTGATTTGCCCGTCTCGGCCTCCCAAAGTGCTGGGATTACAGGCGTGAGCACCGCGCCCAGCCACAAGTGGGTCATTTATTCTTTTCAGATATGTACATGCAGTAACCAGTAGCTTGGCAAAATGTTTTGTAAAAATTTTTTTTGTTGAATAGGTAATAACACACAAATGATATGTAAATATAGTTCCTGAACAGTTACATGTTTGTTTTGTTTTTTTTGAGACAGGGTCTCACTCTGGCCAGGCTAGAATGCAGTAGCATGATCATAGCTCACTGCAGCCTTGACCTTCTGGGTTCAGGTGATCCTGAGTAGTAGCTGGGACTGGAGGTGTGTGCCATCATGCCCAGCTAATTTTTTTTTTTTTTTTTTCGTGGAGACAGGGTCTTGCTGTGTTGCTCAGGCTGGTCTTGAACCACTGGCCTCAAGCAATCTTCCCATTTTGGCCCCTCAAAGTGCTGGGATTACTGTGTCTGCCCGACAGTTAAATGTTTTGAAAGTTGGCCGGGCATGGTGGCGGGTGCCTGTAGTCCCAGCTACTCGGGAGGCTGAGGCAGGAGAATGGCGTGAACCCGGGGGCGGTGGAGCTTGCAGTGAGCTGAGATCACGCCACTGCACTCCAGCCTGGACAACAGAGCGAGACTCTGTCTCAAAAAAAAAAAGAAAAAATGTTTTGAGAATTTCTCTTATAACTGGCTGGCTGTGGTGGCTCACGCCTGTAATCCCAGCACTTTGGGAGGCTGAGGCAGGTGGATCACTTGAAGTCAGGAGTTCAAGACCAGCCTGGCCAACATGGTGAAATTCCGTCTCTACTAAAAATACAAAATTAGCCAGCATGATGGCATGTGCCTGTAATCCCAGCTACTCGGGAGGCTGGGGCAAGAGAATCGCTTGAACCTGGGAGGCAGAGGTTGCAGTGAGCCAAGATTGTGCTACTGCATTCCAGCCTGGGCAACACAGCGAGACTCCCATCTCAAAAAAAAAAAAAAAAAAAAAAAGGAAATATATCTTAAATAGAACTCTGTTTGAATTTGTGCTTATTAATTTTTGTTTTTGTCAGCAATTTAGGGTCCCGGCACGGTGGCTCACACCTGTAGTCCCAGCACTTTGGGAGGCAGAGGTGGGCAGATCACTTGAGGGCAGGAGTTAAGACCAGCCTGGCCAACATGGTGAAACCCTGTCTCTACTAAAAATACAAAAATTAGCCAGGTGTGGTGGTGGGCACCTTTAATCTCAGCTACTCGGGAGGCTGAGGCAGGAGAATTGCTTGAACCCAGGAGTTGGATGTTGCAGCGAGCCGAGATGGCACTGCTGCACTCCATTCTAGGCGACAGAGCAAGACTCTGTCTCAAAAAAAAAAAAAAAAAAAAAAAAACAGTAAATGGTAAATTTAAGCGTTATAAATTCTGAATTAATGGAGAAATTATTGACTAGAAAAGTAGAAAGTTATATCAGAAGGCCAAATTTTGTGTAGTTCATGCTATTGTCACGAGTTGACTATAATTCCATTATTACTGTAATTTTGTCTACAACCACTTATCCTGTGCAGCAACTGCTGTTTGCACTCTGGCTTGGTAAACTCTTTAGTTCAGGGGTCATTATCAGGATGTCACTGGCAGCTTAAGGTATAGGGAACAAATATTAGATAACATTTACTGATCTTCTGCTACATGCCAGGCACTGCAGTAAGTGTGCTATCCATGAGGTCCATTCTCTTCTTATTTGAAGCTGAGGAAACTGAAAGCATGGCTTGCCTGAGGTCACTTCACTTCCCTCTGGTCCTGACTGGAGTCAGGCTGGAGCTCTCCTACCCTATATTCTCTCTCAAAGAAAAGGAGACAGGCTAGTAGAAGACATAGAAAAGGTAAGAGCAAATAGGTAGGGCTTATTCCACTCATTCTGGGCTAACAGCCCTTTAAAGAAAAGTATTTGGCTACAAATTGTAGAAACACAGAGCTCGTGTGCCTATTGGCTATAACAGTTACAACCTTTGGAAGAGGGGTTTCGGTGTCCTTTGCCATTTAGCAAGTAATTGAGCAGGAGAGAAAGCAGATGAGCAGAAAGAAGCAAAGAAGTTGAAATAAGTAGAGTGTGGGCAGGGACTCCGCAGTGTCCTGGAGGAGGCACACCTGTCATTGGTGCCCTGGGAACTCATGTATTAGATATTTCTTGGGATCACAGAGGATGTTGGGGGTGGGGAGGATCAGGGCCATTTTCAGGGAGCTGTTTTAAAGGAAGAATACCTTGGGCCAAGTGGAGAAAGGCACTCCCAGACAGAGGGAACAGCATGGAATTATACTCAGGAAATGACAAGTAATTTTATGTGGTCAAACGTGTTAAGAGTCTGTGTGGAAGGCGTTGAGTGTAGAGGTGAGGCTGGAAGTGTGGGGTCAATGTTTTGGAAGTGGTGGTGACCCATGGAAAGGTTTTAGCATAGGAAAAAAATCATCAGAAAAGTATTTAGAGAGAAGAGTTCTGGGGAAGATCGCCTGTGAAGGGGAAGGGGACCAAAGGTGAGGGCACCCCTGGAAAGACTCTGGTGCGGGGCTCAAGCCACTTCCCCTCAGCTGTGAGCGTGGGAGCTCTCTAGTCTTGAGGCTCCTACCTTTAGAGAATACACACAGGGCCGGCCGGGCGCGGTGGCTCACGCCTATAATCTCAGTACTTTGGGAGGCTGAGGTGGACGGATCACGAGGTCAGGAGATTGAGACCATCCTGGGTAGCATGGCGAGGTGAAACCACGTCTCTACTAAAAATAAAAAAATTAGCCAGGCGTGGTGGTGGGCACCTGTAGTACCAGCTACTGGGAAGGCTGAGGCAGGAGAATCGCTTGAATCCGGGAGGTGGAGGTTCCAGTGAGCCAAGATCGTGCCACTGCACTCCAGCCTGAGCGACAGAGCGAGACTCTGTCTCAAAAAAAAAAAAAAAAAAAAAAAAAAAAAATACACACAGGGCTTCTGCAGACGTGCACAGAGGGATTGGAGGCTTTTGTCATCATCTGAAAGAAGAAAGTGGAGGAAGGTATAATACTCACTTGACACCCATTTTCGGGGGTAGGGATCAGGCTTTGACCCATCTTGCTATAGGGAGGATTGCAGAGGTAGGCTCTGAAGGGCAGGTGCCTCTCCCAGCCCCCACTTTTCTTTTTCTGTTTCCTCAGGCCAAACTGCAGGGGCACGTGGAACCACTGAGGAAGCACCTGGAGGCAGTGCAGAAGATGAAAGCCAAGGAGGAGAGGCGAGTGACAGAACTGAAGGTGGGTGAATGTTCTCGACGGGGCTGATGGGCAGTACAGTCGAGGCAAGGAAGGTAGGGCTTCCCACTCTCACAGGGAGTGACTTGGTCCCCTGAGGAGGGGACAGCTAAGGCCTGGGAGAGGGGTAGATGCTTTCCCTAGGTGCTGAGGAGAGCGGGGCCTTAGAGAATCAGGAGGCATGTTCATTCCTGGTTCCAAAATGGAGTGGAAACTGAGGCCTGGATTGGAGGGCCTAGGTGCCTGGCCCAAGGCTGCAGAACAGGCTTTCTACCCGACACCAGAGCCTGAAGGGGGCAAAGCAAAACCCACATAGCAGCCATCAGAGAAGCTGCCGGCCCCAGGATCCATGCAGGCACTGGGCAGAGCAGCCCTAAGCATGAGGCGGACACTGTCCTGGGACACTTGCTGTGTCCTGAGAGGGGGCCAGTGTGTTTAAGCTGGGGCAGGATTTAGTGTATGTTAGCACTGCAGAGACCTAATATTTCCTAGTCTAGTGTTTTCTCAGCACACCCCGACCCCCCCGCTTTTTTTGTTGTTTTTTTCCATTATTGCTCGCCCTTCTCCAAGGAGTCTTTTAAGATACATTTTCCATCCCCACCTCCCGCCTGTTTTCATAACCCCAGCAGGTCCTGCTGGGATGGGCTGGCACTGTGAGCTTCATAGACCAAGCCAGGACCTCCCCTTCTGTCCCTCTTCCCTCCTCCCTTCCCAGCCAGTGCCTGGGCCTTGCCACTACCCAGGGCCCATGCTCACTGCCACCTGAACGTTAGGGACTCTGCTGCTGGCGACTGCTAGGCACTGAATGGTAGGATCTGTCTGGGAGTAGGAAGTCATCGTGCTTCTGGCCAGCTGCCCAAGTTGATACTTTTGGGCTCTCCTGGGTATAGAGGTAACAGGAGCTGTGTGCCCCTGGCATAGAGTGAAGCTGACTGTGGCGGCTGTTCCCTCACGCGTCTGGTCAGTTGGGACCCTCCTCTGGCCTGCTGCTCACAGCGTCTGCAGCCGATGGTAGCTGTGTGAAAAGTGTGCCTACCACCCAGGAAGGGCCATCCCTGGCAAATAGGGTGGGACTGGGCAGGAGTTTTTTCTGTTACAGGATATTAAGTCCCTACATAATATCCTTGATTTTTGCCTCTTAGCCCACAAAGCATAAAAATACTTACTATCTGGACCTTCACAGAAAAAGTTTTTCCGAGTTCTGATCTGGGGCTTTTGGGTGACTTTCTTAAGGTCACTGTGTTTAATGGCGTCGGGACCCTAACTTCATGTTTTGATTCCTGAATTCTTTTATTTATTCATTTCAAAAATTTTTACCAGGTGCCTACTCTGATTGGTACTATGTCAGGGTCCGAGGACCCTGGCAAACAAAGACATTCCTAGTCCCTGTCAGTGGGAGCTCATGGTACAGTGGGGGAAAGGATGTTAACAGTTACGTCATTTAAACACAACGTTTCAATATTATATGTGCCACAGAGAGATACAGTGATATTTGTGGGGATGGTCCCGATTTAGATCTGGAGAGGAGGGAAGGCTTGTCTTGGAATATTTAAGGTTGGACCTGAAGGATGAGTCAACTTAGGTAGAGTCAGGTGGAGAGGAGTGTTCCAGGCAGAGGTTAGTGAGTTTGAGACCACTGTGCTGGGAGCAAGGGGGTGGTATCTGGTAAGGCTGGTAGGGGATGAGCCTCTTTCCGGGACTATCTTGGACCTGGGGAGTGTAGGGCTCCTTTGCCTTGCATTGAGAAGTAGTAGTTGCAAAACTGGAGGTTATCTTCGTACGTGTTGAGGTGGTGTCTGCCATCCCCTTTGCACCATTCCAGAGCCAGATGAAGTCAGAGCTGGCAGCGGTGGCCTCGGAGTTTGGGCGACTGACACGGTTTCTGGCTGAAGAGCAGGCAGGGCTGGAACGGCGTCTCAGAGAGATGCATGAAGCCCAGCTGGGGCGTGCGGGAGCCGCGGCTAGTCGCCTTGCAGAACAGGCCGCCCAGCTCAGCCGCCTGCTGGCAGAGGCCCAGGAGCGGAGCCAGCAGGGGGGTCTCCGGCTGCTCCAGGTGAGCAATGTCCCCTCCCTGTTCCCCCAGCATTCTGTGTTGGCTGTCAGGCAGTGCTTACCAAACGCCTGTCCAGAGCTGCCTCTTTTCTCCCTGGGAGGAACCCACAGTGATTGAACCTGAAGACCAAAAACATGTTTTAAAGCTGGAAACAGAGTTAATGTCGAATGTGGTATGTGTGGCGATTATACCCAGTGAAAAGCATGAAGATTCGGTTGTAGGAGAGGTTTAAATGACAGTTGAGGAAAGTCTTTTTGACAGTGACATCCTGAAAAAGGTGAGCAAGTCGTATTGTGGAAATGACAGTATCCCTGGGCTCACAGCAGGATGAGGCGAGTTAGGTATGGCGAGGCATGGGGTGGTTGAAATGGATGTGTGTTCATTGAGGGCCGTGAGGGTGCTGCTTCTCCCTTCCTGCTCAGGTTCAGTCTCTGACTGGAGATCGGGGAACGCTGTCCCTGTGCAGCTGACACTCTCTTTATCTCTTTCTCCCTCTCCCTCTTTTTGTTTCTCTTATTCCCAGGACATCAAGGAGACTTTCAATAGGTGTGTTCCCAGTCTTTGCCCTTCGTGACCCAGTGGCATCTGGTTCCCTGTCCCTGCTTCTCTTCGGTATCCCTCTCCTCTCCTTCCTTCCCCAGGACCTGAGTTTCCATCTCCTGGACCCTCCTCTCCTTCCCCTCAGCTTTTGCTTTTCCCTCTGGGAATATCGTGGTCCCACCCCCTGCCCGGTCCCCTTCCTCCAGGTGTGAAGAGGTACAGCTGCAGCCCCCAGAGGTCTGGTCCCCTGACCCGTGCCAACCCCATAGCCATGACTTCCTGACAGATGCCATCGTGAGGAAAATGAGCCGGATGTTCTGTCAGGCTGCGAGAGGTAGGGAGGTCACCTCCACGACCTTCCTTTGCCTTTCCCTTCACAGACCTGAGACTGGGTCCTGAGGGAAGTTGGGCCCCAGGGAAACTGTGGGGCTTGAGATGGAGCAGGATCCAGGCAGCCACTCTGAGGTTGAGGTTTCAAGCCATGAGCAGGTAGACCTAGTGCAGGCAGGCCTGGAGGGTGGGGTGGGGTGGAGTGGCAGGAAGAGCCAGGCTGGGGGAAGACCTGTCAGGTATCCTAGGAACAAGAGTGAGGAGCAAGATGAGCCTGCAGGAATCTGAGGCTGGCCTCTGGGATGGTGTGGGGAGCTGGATTCAGGGAGAAAGGGGGCCCAATCTGTGGAGTTGGCTGCTGACAGGGGAACAGCCGTTCCAGCCCTGGCGTATTTGTCCTCCCTCCCTCCCAAGTGGACCTGACGCTGGACCCTGACACGGCTCACCCGGCCCTGATGCTGTCCCCTGACCGCCGGGGGGTCCGCCTGGCAGAGCGGCGGCAGGAGGTTGCTGACCATCCCAAGCGCTTCTCGGCCGACTGCTGCGTACTGGGGGCCCAGGGCTTCCGCTCCGGCCGGCACTACTGGGAGGTAGAGGTGGGCGGGCGGCGGGGCTGGGCGGTGGGTGCTGCCCGTGAATCAACCCATCATAAGGAAAAGGTGGGCCCTGGGGGTTCCTCCGTGGGCAGCGGGGATGCCAGCTCCTCGCGCCATCACCATCGCCGCCGCCGGCTCCACCTGCCCCAGCAGCCCCTGCTCCAGCGGGAAGTGTGGTGCGTGGGCACCAACGGCAAACGCTATCAGGCCCAGAGCTCCACAGAACAGACGCTGCTGAGCCCCAGTGAGAAACCAAGGCGCTTTGGTGTGTACCTGGACTATGAAGCTGGGCGCCTGGGCTTCTACAACGCAGAGACTCTAGCCCACGTGCACACCTTCTCGGCTGCCTTCCTGGGCGAGCGTGTCTTTCCTTTCTTCCGGGTGCTCTCCAAGGGCACCCGCATCAAGCTCTGCCCTTGATTATCCTGCCACCCGCAGGGGCCCCTCTGTCAGCACTTGGGGGGTGGGTGGTGGAGGGTGGCCCGTAAGTTTGAGGGCTCAAAGGCTCTTCCCACTGCTTGTTACTGTGTTGCTTCCCACTCCCCCTTGACCCCAGGCCCCTGCTTCTCCCTCTAGGAGCCTAAAGAACCCTCCTGGCCTCCAGCTCAGCCTTCTCTCACCTACTATGTCTGTCCAACAGGTCTGCATGGGTCCCTGATAATGAGAACAGCTGCCTGGTCTTCTCTCCCAGTCTGCCTAGCCCAGCCCTGGGACTGGAATTTGAGTAGGGGATGAGGGGAAATTGTAATTTCATTCCTTAACTTCCTTTTCCCCACCCCTGCTCTTCAACCTCTTTATCAGTTCTGAGGCTGGAGGGTTTGGGCAAGGCAACATCCCCATTCCAATTCCATTTTCTGATGCAGATTTTAGCTGAGGGATTTGGAAGCCATTTGGGGAGGCAGGCTGGGCCAAAGGGTAGAGCTGGGTAATAAATGTCTATTCTCCTGGGGAGGAGGGATTCTAAACTTTCCTTCCGTCCTCAATTTCTACCTCCATAGACCGGCCAGAATTTAGCTTCACTTGAGAGAGATCTGGAATGGTCGCCATGATTGAAACCACGCACCATTACATCATCATTACATTAATTACATCAACATAAATTATTTCTTCCCCCTTCCCTTTTCCAGCACTCAACCAAGGAGCAAAGCTCATCCCACCCCACACCCCTCCCAGGTCTGCTCACTGCCAGGCTCCTCTCCCCTTTGTTCAGTGGAGCTGGCTTTTCTCCCAGCCCCTTTCCATGCCTTTCACTCCATTTGGCAAGCTCTGAGGGGGAGCCTGGGGACGGGTTTGGGTCCCCAGGAGGAGAGCCTTGGGTATAATCTATTTTTCTAGGAGCCTCTTGCCTTGTCACTTGCAGCTTTCGCCCTCTGCTTTGATGGCTGAGGTGAACTCATGTTCTTTGGGAAAAGGGAAGGCGTGCTGTGGAAATAAAATGTTTATTTGCTTCTCTTGTGAGGTCTGTTCCTTCAGGTGAGGGTGTAACTCAGGATTTCTTCCTTTGCCGCCCCTGCAGTGAGAAGCCACACAACTGAACTGGTTAGTTGCAGTTAAAGGCATGCTTTGCACCTGTTACCAGGCAGGCTCCTATTTCAACAGGGATGTGGACCCTGCTCCCCATTTTAATATCTTAACCTAACTTACTAACTGTTCAGTCTACTTAGAGATGTTTGCCACACGTAGTTGAAACTGAAGCCAGAAATGCCTCATCACCATTATAAATTGAGGGGAGTAGGAAGTGGAGGGTGCATGTGGGCCTTCAATATGCTGTAGTTGCTTAGCACAGAAAATTGCAAGGGTAGTGGGGTCTCAGCCGCATGTTGAACCATTCCATCCCTGTACTGAGGTTTCTATTGGAAACTGTAATTGTAGTTTAATGGCTCACTTCTGGCCTTTCACAAGGCATCTATCCTCATGAATAAACTGTGTTTGTGTGTAGGGGGATTGAGGGCCAGGTTATAGTAGCAGTTGAAATGTTTAGTAGGGCCAACTTTATGGTTCTATTTATGAATGCTTCCAGACCAACCACCCCAAAACTTTTGACCTGAGGAATAAATTAGTTTTGAATTAAGTTCTTCTGGTGAGAACTGCCTTGCTTAAAGAATTAAAAACCCTTGACTTTCCTCAAAGACCATGTTGACAGAGACTGCTAACATGAAGCTTAAGTTTTCTGAATTATGTTCAAATCTTTAGAGGAATGAGGATTCATCTTCCACTCTTACGTGTCAGGGGTTGGACCTGCGGAGTCTGCTTTTTCTAAAAATTGACTGCAACCACTTTGAAATCAGTTCTTTCCCTCAAGAAGGTTCCCCAGGTTGAAGGTAGGCCCTGATGATCTGCACGTGGTATGTAGGACGCTGATGGGGTTTAAGTTCAGGGAAACTGCTATGTGACTTCTCACAAACATCCCACCTGATGCTACCCCAATCCTGAGAACTTAGACGGACAGCTCCCCTTCAAAGCCTTGTTTACTTAGTCCATACCTTGCATCCAGTTCGCTAGTGCAAACTTAATGTGTAAGCAATGTAGATAGAATGGAGCTTTTTTGCATATAAGAAAAAAAAACCTAAAAGTCAGAAAAGCCAGTTTTTTTTTTATTTGTAAAGCTCTGCCATAAACTTCTAGCGTGTGCCAATGGTCACCTGCCACACTCGCACCAGGTTGTCCGTGTAGCCAGCAAACAGAGTCTGCAGGGAAGAAATGACAGTGACAGGTCAGGCTGGCATAAATTCTGCAGTCTCACTAGATTCAGCCCAAGTGGCTTTTTTTGAGATCCGTCCACCTTGCTCCATTGTCTAGGCTGGAGTGCAGGGGTGCGATCCTGGCTCACTACAGCCTTAAGCCCCTGCAGTTCAAGAGATCCTCCCACCTCAGCCTCCAGTAGGCATGTGCCACAACGCCGGGTAGACTGTAAGAAACCGCTCTCATTTCAACAGCCAGCTTGTAAGTGGTGGTTATGTATTCCTTGAGGAAGAAACAGCTGGTGATAAGGCTCCAGACATTTGAAAACTGGTCAGATTAATTAAGGTATTAATTGAAGGCTGACAGCCACTGCGTTCCACATCAGTCTTCCCTCTGATGCAGAAACACATTCACTGGCATGGCAAACGAGGGCATCCTCATCAACCTGGCTTGTCATTTCACTTTATGCCAAGGACACTGCTCTTGTGTCTGACAGACTAGATATACTAACAGAATGAGAGGGAGAAAATTAACTGGAAGCAGAATCACCTGAGAGGACAGACCCACTTACCTGGCCATCAGCAGACCAGGCCAGGGAGGTGCACTGGGGTGGTTCTGCCTTGCTGCTGGTACTGATAACTTCTTGCTTCAGTTCATCTACAATGATCTTTCCCTCTAAATCCTGGGGAACAGGGCAAAAGCAACCTTAAGACTTACCAATCAAGAGAGTCTCCTCTTAAAAGCCCCTCAAGATTCTCAAGTTAAAAAGGGATGATTTTGCTCCCTGGGGTCCATGTATCAATGCCTACATGCATTTTCAGTTGCCACTAGTGGAAGGATGGTTTGCTACTGACATCTAGTAGAAGCTGGAAATGCTGCTAAACATCCTGGAATGTACAGGACTGCACACCACAACAGAGTTACTCAGACCAAAATGTCATTACGTGGAGGCTGAGAAAGCTTAGCTCCCAGGTGGGAGTCAGATGGCATATATAATAACCAAAACATTGCCAGGGCTCAGAGTGCAGCCAGGTACCCAGTCAATTGTAACCCACACTCACCCAGATCTTGATGCTGGGGCCTGTGGCAGCACACAGCCAGTAGCGGTTAGGGCTGAAGCACAGGGCGTTGATGATGTCCCCACCATCTAGCGTGTAAAGGTGTTTGCCTTCGTTGAGATCCCATAACATGGCCTGGCCATCCTGGACACAGGTAAGGTAAATCAGGACACTGTGACCTCTTCCAGATGTTAATTCTGCCCATCTCAAGATTCTGTCAGAATCAATTCTTACCTTTCCTCCATTACCCCAGGCTTCTTTGAAAGCTAATGACTCAAGTACCAATATTTATCTCTGTATACCTTTCCTTTAACGTAAGACCTTACCAACCCCATCAAAAAACCCCTCCCAACTTACATAAATCACTCCAATCATTTCTGAAAACCAGGATCCCAATCTCATCAACTGCTTCAAGAAACCAACTTTAGGCTGGGTGCGGTGGCTCATGCCTGTAATCCCAGCACTTTGGGAAGCCGAGGTGGGCGGATCACCTGAGGTCAGGAGTTCAAGACCAGCCTGGCCAACATGGTAAAATCCTCTCTACTAACATACAAAAATTACCCAGGAGTGATGGCGGGTGCCTGTAATCCTAGCTACTCGGGAGGCTGAGATGGGAGAATTGCTTGAACCCGGGAGATGGTTGCAGTGAGCCGAGATCGCGCCACTGCACTCCAGCCTTGGCAGCCGAGTGAGACTCCGTCTCAAAAAAAAAACAAAAAACAAACAAACAAAAAAACAACAAAAAAAACCCACAGGCTTATAGAAAATCATCTTTTTCTTCCAGATAGTATGCCTTAACTGTCATTTGCTGAAAGTAATCTTTGGAAACATATTCTCAGATTGCCATTATCTCATTATCCTCCTAAAACCATCTTGGCTAATGTTTGCCATTTTACGTTAGAGACGCTGGCTAAGTGCTCCTTCCATGACGCTGTCTTCCACTGAGTAGGAGACGCCTTGTCCCCAAATACCTTGCCTCCAGAAGCACAGAGGGATCCATCTGGAGAGACAGTCACCGTGTTCAGATAGCCTGTGTGGCCAATGTGGTTGGTCTTCAGCTTGCAGTTAGCCAGGTTCCATACCTGCATAGACGTGCGGTTGACAGGTGAACATCCTAGCTCTTGATGAGCTAGGGTCAGGCCCAACAAAAAAGGGCTTGGCACTTCTGGATACGGTAGCCATTTCTCATTCAGTAACATGTCCTGGCCACTTCACGTTAGATTATAACACATATCCAATGCAGTGTGCTGACTTACAAGGGACATCAGACCATGTGACAAGAGAAAGAGTCAACTGAGGGCATCTGCAAAGCTTTCCACAGGACTTGGAGTGTATGACCACCTGGGAGCACACCCTGACTGGTAAAGCCCCTGCCTTGGCTTGACGCTCACCTTGACCAGCTTGTCCCAGCCACAGGAGACGATGATAGGGTTGCTGCTGTTGGGCGAGAAGCGGACACAAGACACCCACTCTGAGTGGCTCTCATCCTACAGAAGATGGAAAGGAAATTAGGGCAAACAGTCCTATCCCATGAAATGCTAGACCTCCCAGCCCTACCCCTCAGTAGGATGATGGCTGGCAGCACCTTTCAAAAACCAAGAACCCAAACCTTTAAGCTCAATAGAATCCCTTTAGATTCCAGACAAGAAAATTTTTTAAAAATTTAGAGATGGTGGCTGGACGCAGAAGCTCACGCCTCTAATCCCAGGGAGGGCGAGGTAAGTGGATCACCTGAGGTCAGGAGTTTGAGACCAGCCTGGCCAAAATGGTGAAACCCTGTCTCTACCAAAAATACAAAAATTAACCAGGTGTGGCGGCGGGTGCCTGTAATCCCAGCTACTGGGGAGGCTCAGGCAGGAACACTGCTTAAACCCAGGAAGCGAAGGGTGCAATGAGCCAAGATTGTGCCATTGCACTCCAGCCTGGGCAACGAACAAGTGAAACTTCATCTCCAAAAAAAATATAATAATAATAATAGGGCCTGGTGTGGTGGCTCACGCCTGTAATCCCAGCACTTTAGGAAGCCAAGGTGGATGGATCATGAGGTCAGGAGATCAAGACCATCTTGGCTAACATGGTGAAACCCTGTCTCTACTAAAAATACAAAAAATTAGCCAGACCTGATGGCAGGCGCCTGTAGTCCCAGCGACTCGGGAGGCTGAGGCAGGAGAATGGCGTGAACCCGGGAAGCAGAGCTTGCAGTGAGCCGAGATCGCACTACTGCACTCCAGCCTGGGCGACAGAATGAGACTGTCTCAAAACAAAACAAAATAGTAGTGATAAGGCCGGGCACGGTGACTCACGCCTGTTATCACAGCAGTTTGGGAGGCTGAGGCGGGCGGATCACCTGAGGTCAGGAGTTTGAGACCAGCCTGGCCAACATGGTGAAACCCCATCTCTACTAAAAATACAAAAATTAGCTGGGCATGATGGCACACGCCTGTAATCTTCTCAGACACCCAACCATCGGCTTCTGAGCTGCGGCAACTCCCTTTCACCTTTTCACCGCCCCCCACCCATCCCCAAATCCCCGATCCAGCCCCCAATCTGCGATCCCAAATCTGCGATCTAGCCCAGAATCCATCTCAAAAAAGAAAAAAAATAAATAAAATTTTGTTTAAATAGATGGGGTCTCACTATGTTGGCCAGGCTGCTCTCCTGTCCTCAAGCAGTCCTCCCACCTTGGCCTACCAGAGAGCTAGGATTACAGGCGTGAGCCCAGCCCAGACAAGACTTTAAAAAGGCAAAGAAAGCGGGGGACGGTGGCTCACGCTTATAATCCCAGCACTTTGGGAGGCTGAGGCGGGCAGATCACCTGAGGTTGGGAGTTCAAGACCAGCCTGACCAACATGGAGAAACCCTGTCTCTACTAAAAATACAAAACCGGGCATGGTGGCGCATGCCTCTAATCCCAGCTACTTGGGAGGCTGAGGCAGGAGAACTGCTTGAACCCAGGAGGCGGAGGTTGTGGTCAGCCGAGATCACGCCATTGTACTTCAGCCTGGGGAACAAGCGAAACTGTCTCCGAGAAAAAAAAAAAAAAAGGCAAAGATAGGCAGGTGGGGGCTCACGCCTGTAATCCCAACACTTTGGGAGGGCGAGGCAGGCAAATCGCCTGAGCCCAGGAGTTTGAGACCACCCTGGGCAACATGGTGAAACCCTGTCTCTACTAAAACACAAAAAATTAGCTAGGCGTGGTGGCTGCGCACCTGTAGTACCAGCTACTCGGGAGACTGAGGCACCAGAATCCCTTGAGCCCGGGAGGCAGAGGTTGCAGTGAGCCGAGACTGCGCCACTGCACTCCAGCTTGGGCAAGAGTGAGACTGTCGCCAAAAAAAAAAAAAAAAAGCAAAGTTTAAGAGGGTGGAAGAGATCCTTGGAGATGGCTCACTTTACCTGGACAGTGTATTTGCACACACCCAGGGTATTCCATAGCTTGATGGTTTTATCTCGAGATCCAGAGACAATCTGCCGGTTGTCAGAGGAGAAGGCCACACTCAGCACATCCTTGGTATGGCCCACAAATCGCCTCGTGGTGGTGCCCCTGAGAGGGAGGAGTTTGTCATTCTCAGACTTAGCAAACACTCTCATTCAACGGTCAGACTCATTTCCTGGGCTTTGTCTCTGTCTCATTGCATCACTCATACAACCCTGGATTTGGCTCTGATCACAGAGTCAAGTGACTGAGTATATGAAAGAGAAGAGCCAAGTGACAGAGAATCCCTTCAGAATTGCAGGACATGTCCTCACTCCCACTTGGGGATTGGCTGACAATGCCATCTGTCATCACCAGGACCCTCTAATTCCACCTGCCAATTACCTGAGCTTTCAAGGTAAAACATGTTCAAACTGCTGCCCACTCAGAACTTTTGCACCTGGCAAAAATGTTCAGCCACACTCCTCAGCAATGCTGAGTAACTTATTTAAAGTGAGGGAGGCCAAACATCTTCTGTAGGTGTGCTCTGCTTTCCAGTTCCCAAATGGACTGGATCTCCCCTGGGAAACCAGCCAATTGCATCCACCTCACTTCTGCCCAGATTCTTCCCAAGGCCCCAGAGCTAAGTGAGCAGCTACTTGCGTTGTGAGATCCCAGAGGCGCAGGGTTCCATCCCAGGAGCCTGAGAGGGCAAACTGGCCATCTGAGGAGATAACCACATCACTAACAAAGTGGGAGTGACCCCGCAGAGCACGCTGTGGAATTCCATAGTTGGTCTCATCCCTGGTCAGTTTCCACATGATGATGGTCTTATCTAAAGGAGGTAAAACAGAAGAAAAATCAGTGAGGAACCCGCAGCCCGTTTAACACACTGGATAATTCACTAAGTGTCAAGGTCATGAGTGGGTTAACAACAACTAAGGACGCTTAAGGAGGGATGGAAACAACAGACAAGAGCAGTTACAGACCAGGACTGAGTGGCTCTATTCCAGACTAAAAACGCACGTAGAGGTAAACTGTACCCTGATAACTTTTTTTTTTCTTGAGATGGAGTCTCGCTCTGTCGCCCAGGCTGGAGTGCAGTGGCATGATCTCGGCTCACTCCAAACTCCACCTCCCGTGTTCAAGCAATTCTCCCGCCTCAGCCTCCCAAGTAGCTGGGATTACTTGGCCAGCTGGCACCTGCCAGCACGTCTGGCTAATTTTTTAACTAGAGATGCGGTTTCACCATTGGCCAGGCTAGTCTCTAACTCCTGATCTCAAGTGATCCACTCGCCTCTGCCTTCCAAAGTGCTGGGATTATAGGCGTGAGCCACCGCGCCCAGCCTGTATCCTGAGAACTTAATTTAGGTGCCAGAAATACAGACACCCTTTCCTGAAACTCAGACGAACTCAACAGCCACTTTGTGTCTTCTCTGCAACCAAATGCACAGCAGTTTGTGGCTGTAGAGTAGCTGGGGCCTCCTATGCCTACCTCTGAGGGCCGACAGAAATGTAGTAATGAATGCTGGAAAAGCCACTTCAGGCGCTACAGGATTGGATGCTTTTACTGAAACCTGTCCCACTCAACAAATTTTACGATTAACAGCCAGACATGATTCAAAAGTCAGACAATTCTTAACAGTGTAGCAGCAAAGCGGAAGCACAAGAAGCGTCTAAACGCAGTCAGGAACACAGGGATAGGGACGGGGAGAACCAGGGGCAGAAAAAGTAGGCCGACACTTGAGCCACGAGGTCCTCTGGAGTCCACCTGCCTCCCCACGAGCCTTGGGCCGGGCGGCAGCTCAGAAACAGCCTCTGGATTTCAGCACCGACACTCAGATGGCATGTTGGGGTCATCACCGCCCCGCCCGGCCCGTAGGCCCCCGGCCACACTACGAAGGAGAAGGCAAAAGATATTTTAAAAGTTTCCAACTCTCCAACCCTCCTAGCAGCTGCGAGCTGATGTACACGTAGGTTCTCATCTGCAATGTGGTTCGCCCGGGTTGAGGCCTAGGCTCGGGTCCGCACGCCCCAATTCACAATGGGGCAGAGAAGTCTGTCAGTCCCCGCCAACTCGCGCGCCACCGGCCTGCCACACCACACGCGGAATTCCCTACACGACACGCGGAATCCCCCAGCCCTGCAATCTCGGGTCCTGAAATCTACCTTAGTCCGTACCTCGAGAGGCGGAGAGGATCATGTCCGGGAACTGCGGGGTAGTAGCGATCTGGGTTACCCAGCCGTTGTGGCCCTTGAGGGTGCCACGAAGGGTCATCTGCTCAGTCATGGCGGCGGCGAGAGCGTGTGTCGCTGCAGCGACGAGGATGGCACTGGATGGCTTAGAGAAACTAGCACCACAACCTCTCCTGCCGCCGCCTTGCAGTGAAAGAGAGAGAGAAAAGCCCCCCGCCGGAACCGGAAATACCCGCTCGACCATGCAAAATGGCGAGCCCCATGATACATTTCTGCTCAAGATGGCGGCGCCATGTAATGCAAAAGGCAGAGGGAAATTGCAAGGCATCACAGTCCCGTCTTCCGTACAACAAAATCTGACTGCACTTTACAAATACACTCTGAAACAAGCACATTCAAGTGTTTAAAAAGGCTTCTCAGGGATGATGTAGAGCGAGAAGCGAAAGAGGTGAAGTGTACGGCACATTCCCATGAGGACCGCCGGGCTGCTTCCCCGCCCCTATGTGGCATAGCTCGAGCTCCGCCTGTTCCACTTGGTGCGGGGAGGGTTGACGGGGCAACCCCAGGGGAGCTTAATTTTCATTTCACTATCGTGGGTAACGATGGGCAATTTAAAAAGTAGAGTATTAAAATGTTAAAAATAAACTTTAAAACTGTGCTTCCGGAGGGTGTTCTCCCCTCACGAGGTTTTTGTTCTGATGCACACCAACTCCGGAAGGACTTAGTCCAGGCTGGACTAAGGCAGGAGAGGGTTACTCTGGATGAACTAAGAATTGGTCTCTTTTTCCCGGGCGCGGTGGCTCATGCCTGTAATCCTACCACTTTGAGAGGCCGAGGCGGGTGGATCACTTAAGGTCAGGAGTTCAAGACTAGCCTGGCCAACATGATGCAACCTCTTTCCAAATAAATAAATAAAAAAAATTAAAATTAGCCAGGCGTGGTGGGGGGTGCCTGTAATCCCAGTTACTCGGGAGGCTGAGGCAGGAGAATCCCTTGAACCTGAGAGGCGGAGGTTGCAGTGAACCGAGATCGCGCCACTGCACTCCAGCCTGGGCAGCAGAGCGAGACTCCGACTCAAATAAATAAATACATACATACAATAAAATAATAAAGTAAAAATTGCCCTGTGTGTTGCTAGACTGCCAATCCGTTCCTGCCTAGGCCAGAACACGGGAAGCTCTCGCAGAAACGGAAATGCCCAAAGGAGGACCTTAAGGTTCTGACTTCTGGGGACATCTAGTGGAAAGCTCTCTCTGGGCCCAGCCAGCGTACACAAAAGCCCAGGGGTCTGGGGGTCCAACTGTGCCCTGAAGGACGTGCCCAGACAGGGAAGCGGTGGAACACGGATACCTAACTGTCCTTCTGCCTTCCGCTCGACCGCAGGAATTTAAATAAGTAATGGCTCCCATTCTCACCCATCTCTGACTATAAGAGACAGTGTTGGCACCATGTCTATTCAAGTAGTTTTAAACAGGGGCACAGATCAGGATGATAGCAGCCACCAACATCTATGCAAAATAAAGGGGGCATTATACCTAAGTATATACTTTTCTATTTGTGACATCTATCAACTTTCGTTTCTCATCTGTGAAATGAGATTGGAAATAATATTAGTATCTACATTACATGGTGGTGTGGAAAGTGAAGAAGCAAATGTAAAGCGCCCTGAACAAGGCAGAGTAAATGTTGTGAAACTTAGCACCTCTTGGGTGCCAGGCCTTATTTTAGGTCTTGGGGACACAGCTGTGAACAAGACAGAGGGGGGACCCTGGTTTGTTTTATTTGCAGTTTACTTCCTACGGTATGCGAAGAGGGGAGAACATTGGAACAGAGACACGGAGAGAGCCCTGCGGGTATATGGGAGAATAATGTTCCTGTGGAGGGAAGTCAAATGGGGGAAAAATATTTCAATCGGAGGGAAGAGTTAGTGCCAACGTACTGAGCTGGAGTGTGGAGGGGCTGAGGACAGAGCAGGGAAATGGAGGGTGCAGTTAACCTAGGGCCTTGAAGGCCTGGAGAAGAACCTTGGCAATGTCTGCTAGAAAGCCTGCGTAAAGGCAGAAGACAGGCGAGGGAGGGTGGCAGAGCTGCCGGAGGCTGTAGACGCCCAGGTGTGCAGGGAAGGCCAGGA
This sequence comes from Homo sapiens, assembly GCF_000001405.40. Classification (NCBI taxonomy): domain Eukaryota; kingdom Metazoa; phylum Chordata; class Mammalia; order Primates; family Hominidae; genus Homo; species Homo sapiens. Next base: position 181,245,838 of record NC_000005.10, read on the forward strand.
TCCCTCCCTGAAACAGCTTGCTCTCCTGGTCCTCTGCAGGTTCCCCTGCCTTCCGCCGCAGTCTCCCTTGGGCTTTCCGGGACGTTGTCCTGGCTGTGGTCCTCCGCAGCCTGTGGACCATCCTAAGGCTCCAGGTTTGTATACATCACCTGCCTCCTTGGCACCCCCAGCTGACTGTTCTTTCGCTTTTCCAATACGGGACTCAATCCCTACCCAGGTGATTGTGGTGGTCGTGGAAGACCGCTGCCTTCACCCTCCCGCTAACCAGCTTGCTGCCCCCCACTCGGGTCATGCCAGCGCCTCCCTGAGCCCTCGGGCACAAATAGGTGAACGACCACACCCGCCTCCCGCTGTGGACTGAGATTCGCGGTGCGAGGGGTTCCCGGGTTGAGGACCTAAAACGCCGAGGAGTTCCAATTTGTCCTCGAGAACACGGGGTTTCTCCATTCGCGGCCGTCAACAGCACTAGATCACAGTTACATTTTTTTTCCTTTCGCGAAACCTCATTCGGTTCTCTTTTTCTTAAACGTTCCACAGGGAGTCCAGGTCCCCACCCACGCCCAAGGGAAAGGCCTTGCCGCGCCGCGGGTCACTGTCCCGGAAGCGGGAGGTTGCCACGTCCGGCCCCACCCTGCCCCGCCCCCTTTCCCGCTCCGCTCCGGGGCCGCCCTCTTTCCCTGCCTCGCGACACCCAGACCGAGACCTCGGGAATGCTCCGGCCCCCTGCCGCCGTCTCCCGGCCCGGTTCTCTTTCACTAAAAATAGGCGATTCTGGCAGCGCCCCTCCTATGGGGCCTTGGGGGCAATTGGGGTTTTGTCTTAGAGCCCGTGTGGACCCGGATGGCGACGGCAGCCCGAGGAGAGGGAGGGCTGACTGTATGGTTGGCTTTCCGACGACCAGACCCTGCAGGATTCGGCCTTTCCCTTTGGAGTTTTCCTCCATCCCCCTCCGTCCCTCCCAGGGGATGCCCGCAGGCCACAGTGGTCACTGAAGGTCAACCCTGAGCCGAAGGAGAAGTGGCCTCGACCCTGGGGACCCCTTCAGGTGCAGCTTGAGGGGGAACGGCCGCCTTTCCCGTTGGGCACCCAGCTGTGGCTGTGCCCTGTCCTCGCCCAGCTCCCGGCATAGGCATGCGCTCTGGGCCGGGGCCGGGGCCCCCCGCCTCCCCGGGAGGAATCGCTGGGTTGACTCTGGGTCAGCAAAGGGAGCCCGGCCCTTTCTAGCGGGGGGACGTCCTGCAGCCGCTGGAGGAGGCTGAGTCACGCTTTTCCCACCAGAAGTCTACCTGTGCCTGCGCCCGCCGGACCTGCCGGCCTCTTCCTTCTCATCCAGGGGGCCTCTTCTCCAGCCTCACGGAGGTGGGAAGCTTGCTGGAGGCCCCTACCTGCCTTTTGGGGAAGACCCCGAGGCTGGCCCACGCCCTGCTGGCAGGACCCTTCCTGACTGGGTCCACCGTTCTTCTGGGTCTCACCACTTCTCCCAGCCCCTGGGCTGCTTCCTCTCTCCCGTGTCTGGGACCCCAGAGGCACCACTTCCATTCCATACAAGGTAAGAGTCCCAAGGAGAGGCCGGGCACGGTGGCTCACGCCTGTAATCCCAGCACTTTGGGAGGCCGAGGCGGGCGGATCACGAGGTCAGGAGATCGAGACCATCCTGGCTAACACGGTGAAACCCCGTCTCTACTAAAAATACAAAAAATTAGGGCGTGGTGGCGGGCGCCTGTAGTCCCAGCTACTCGGGAGGCTGAGGCAGGAGAATGGCGTGAACCCGGGAGGCGGAGCTTGCAGTGAGCCGAGATGGCGCCACTGCACTCCAGCCTGGGCGACAGAGAGAGACTCCGTCTCAAAAAAAAAAAAAAAAAAGTCCCAAGGAGAAATTGGAGAGGCTCTCCTATGAAAATCCATCTCACCATTCCTTTTCTGAGGAGTCCACAGGACCTGTACAGTTGGAACCAGCCCCTCAGGCTTCCCTGCCAGAGCCCTTTTCTCCAGGAGCAGAGGCATCCATCCCCTCCTGCCAGCATTCCAGACCCTGGAGGGCTTGCGCGGTGGCAGGTTTTCCCTTGAATGCTGAGGCGAGGCTGAGGGAAAGGTGCGTGGCCAGGACCAGAGGGCCTGCTGACTGCCAGCTAAAACTCTGTGCAGGAGGCTTTCCCACGTACTTTACGTACTTTAAGATGATGAGCAAAATCCTTACTGTCTCCCTGCAAAATCCGTGTGGCTTCCTCTGGCGTGTCCCATACTCTTGTGTTTGTGGCCAGACTGGGCCTCCGCTCTTCCTCCAAACTCATTAGTTCTCTCCCACACAGAACACACATTGTTCTGCCTGGAAGGCCCATCACATCCCTCCCCAACCCTCTCGGTTCAATCTAAGCTTTCTTGGGGTCTCAGCTTAGGTTGCCTGTTCAGGGAAGCCTCTGGGACCCTCAGGTCTAGGTCACATTTGTTTCATGCTTTCACAGCGGTGGTGTAGTGTATACTGGTTCTTCTTATCCCTCAGGTGTCTCCTCACAAGGACTGCTCTGTTTCTGCTAAGTGTTGCATTCTCACCACCCAGTGGAGGCTTTGGCCTGTGGAAGATTCTAATTTTGGTGGCCAGCCTCATGGGTTGAAAAGTAAAGGTCAAGTAGTTAAAGGAAGGGCGTTCCAGGCAGAGGGATCAGCGTAGGTGCAGAGGTAAGGTAGGGATAGCTTTGAGGGCTCCTTAGGAGGGAGTGAAACCCCTGAGGGTCAAGGAGCCCTAGTTTGGAAGGCCTTGCTACTAAGGGATCTGGATTTTGTCCTGAAGCCTAGAGTAGTTTCTTTAAGAGTCTGATCTCGGCCAGGCCTAGAGTAGTTTCTTTAAGAGTCTGATCTCGGCCAGGCCTAGAGTAGTTTCTTTAAGAGTCTGATCTCGGCCAGGCGCAGTGGCTCACGCCTGTAATCCCAGTACTTCGGAAGGCCAAGGCAGGCAGATCACGAGGTCAGGAGTTCCAGACCATCCTGGCTAACACGGTGAAACCCGTCTCTACTAAAAATACAAAAAATTAGCTGGGCCTGGTGGCACGTGCCTGTAGTCCCAGCTACTCGGGAGGCTGAGGCAGGAGAATTGCTTGAACCGGGGAGGTGGAGGTTGTAGTGAGCAGAGATCATGCCACTGCACTGCAGCCTGGGTGATAAGAGTGAGACTCCATCTCAACAACAACAAAAAAAGTCTGATCTCAGCACTGTCCTGCCTAGACTGCTTCTTTTTTTAGGACAAGTTTTTATTGCTACCTGCTAAAAACGCACTTATTGTCACGGTGCAGGCTAGGTTGGAGGAGTAAAACTAGAGACAAGAAGAGTTAAGAAGCCACTGCAGTATTCAAGACAAATGAGTCAAGCCAAAGGCTGAGATGCTGTACAGGAAGGTCTCTAGGGGGACCCTAAATTTAGCTGGGGGTGGTGGTGCAAGATTCCTACGAAGTGGCACTAAAGGAGGGACTGAGTACTTACTAAAGACCTTATGACTAAGAGGTCTCTCTCATCCCTACACTACTTCCTTCACTCCAGTGTCTAGAATTGGCCTCTGTATATAGGAGCTCTTTGGTTGAGCATGGTTCACACCTGTAATCCCAGCAGTTTGGGAGGCTGAGGTGGGAGGATCACTTGAACTCAGGTGTTCAAGACCAACACAGTGAGACCCCATCGCTATAAAATTTTTAAAAATTTTAGCCAGGCATGGTGGTGCACGCTTGTAGTCCCAGCTACTTAGGAGGCTGATGCAGGAGGATCGCTTGAGCCCAGAAGTTGGAGGCCGCAGTGAGCTATGATCACATCACTACACTCCAGCCTGGGTGACAGGGTAAGATCCTGTCTCAAAAAGAAAAAAAAAAAATTAAGCACAAAAAGTTTGGAGACCAGGAAACAGGAGTACAAGTATAGGTGCTGTCCCACTCTTAGTGAGGTCGGCTGTGAAATTAAATCAGTTCCTGGAACAAATCTTACAAAGAGATCAGAGATCACTTGCAGTTTTTTTTTTTTTTTTTTTTTGAGACAGCGTCTCACTCTGTCACCCAGGCTGGAGTGCAGTGGTGCCATTTTGGCTCACAGCACCCTTCGCCTCCTGGGTTCAGACAATTCTCCCACCTCAGTCTCCCGAGTAGCTGGGACTACATGCCTGGCTAATTTTTGTCTTTTTTGGTAGAGACAGGGTGTCACCATGTTGGCCAGCCTGGTCATTAACTTTTTAAAAAAATGTTTATTTTCCTGATAAAGATTCAGCATAAATTTTAGGCAGAAGTCTGACGTCTAGCAGTCCCCCAGAAAGCATTCTGTTGTCTGTTGGGGCTTCCTTGGGAGATGGACTGTGGGCTAGGCCTGGGTGCTTTGGCAGATACAGAGTCAGAGGCTGTGGAAAGGGGATGGTCCAGACAGGACTATAATAAATGCAGGGATGGCCGGGCGCGGTGGTTCATGCCTGTAATTCCAGCACTTTGGGAGGCCAAGGCAGGTGGGTCACTTGAGGTCAGGAGTTCAAGACCAGCCTGACCAGCATGGCAAAACCCTGTCTCTCCTAAAAATACAAAAATTAGCTGGGCGTGGTGGTGCATGCTTGTAATCCCAGCTACTTGGGAGGCTGAGGCAGGAGAATCACTTGAACCCAGGAGGCAGAGGTTGCAGTGAGCCGAGATTGCGTCACCGCACTCCAGCCTGGGCAACAGAGGGAGACTGCATCTCAAAAAAAGAAAAAAAAAAAGAAATGCAGGGAGAAGTCAAGCTTCTAGCCTCCTTGTCAAAGGATTTAAAGTAGCATTAGATGGTAGAGAGAAACAAAAGATGACCCAAGTTTCATTTTCTCAGCTTTCTACTGGAGAGAGGACGTCATATAAACCAGAGTGCGAAAAAGGTCAGAATGGAACCCTGGGGCTGGCTAGCTCAAATTTGTATGAGGGATGAAGGGCAGTCCTCTCTGCTCACACTAAGGCTAAATGGCCAGGGCCTGCGGAGAAATCACATCCTTTGCTGTAGGAGTAGAAGGGATTCCATGTGCCTAAGAAATGTCAGAGAAAAAGGGGATGTGAGCTCCATGGATCCTCTCCAGGCCACCTGGATCCCTCCTTATCTTTGTAGGACTCTGCTTACTGCCAGCTGGAATTGTCAACCAAAGGGCTCTAAGTTGGGATCTCGGTCCCTTAAGATGAGGGGAGATGGCTGGGCGTGGTGGCTCCTGCCTATAATCCCAGCACTTTGGGAGGCCGAGGTGGACAGATCACCTGAGGTCAGGAGTTCGAGACCAGCCTGGCCAACAATTAAAATTACATTTTAATTTTTTTAAATATAAAAAAATTAGCTGGGCGTGGTAGCACATGCTTGTAATCCCAGCTACCCTGGAGGCTGAGGCAGGAGAACTGCTTGAACCTGGGAGGTGGAGGTTGCAGTGAGCCGAGGTCGTGTCACTGCACTCCAGAGCCTGGGCGACAAGGGCAAAACTCAAAAAAAAAAAGAAAAAAGATGAGACGAGAAAGCTAGGAAGGCCTAAGCACAAACCTCAGCAGGGGGAATCGCTATAGAGGATAAGCCTCCTTGTTCTTAAAGGCTATTTTTATTTCAGTTGGCTGTTTGGAGCTGTGTAAAAAAAATGGAAAACAACAATAACAACAACAAACAAACAAAAAAACCCTCCAAAGGGCTATTTCTAATTCAAATCCCCGAGGTGTCTATCTTTCCCCTTCCTTTGGGGGAGGGAGGAGGTGAGACAAGTAATAACTTAGAGGAACGTTTCCTTCCATCTTTGCAGGTCTCCTGATAGCAGGAACCTTGCTGCATCTCCTACACTTCTCAAGAGCAGAAATGAGCTCACTGCCCCACACCCAGGATTCTCATACCACACTTGAGGACTCTCTGGTTTGGACAGACTATGATTAAATTTATCACAACTGTTAGTTCTCATGGTCTGGGAGGCCATCTCCTCTCCTCAGACCCTGTTACTCCTAGATCTGTCCTCTCATTAACTCTGTCAGCACAGGCTGCTCTCTCTTCCAGGACTCCAAGAGCTCCTCATCACCCTCATCTGCTGTAACACGGAAAGAACCCACTTACCTGCTTCAATACTAGGTTTTGCCCCCCATCCCATTTTCAAAAAGTCAGGCACAAAGTAAAACCCTATATTTATTATCCCTCCTATTTTGAGGCTCCAGCTCTAGCCCCAGACCTTTTTTGATAGGAGAAGGTAATACAGTTTATTTTCTAACTTGTTTCCCCTAGTTTTCTCCTGTCTCGTCACCCGTGTGATCCACGTGTATCAGAAGTGATAGGTGGCTCAAGATCATTTTGGTCAGATTTTAAAAATAAAATATTTTCTCCTTTTATGTCTAAAAATATTACCTTACAGCCTACCGCTCCCAGCTGGAAAAAGAAAATTGTTTCATTTCTGTTTTTATCCTCCCCCTTGGACTTGCTACTCCCAAGGGCCCCAGGAAGAACTAGACTTTGGTTGTACAGAACTGTGCTGTTAAATAGGATTTGATAGCCACTAGCTACATGTGGCTAATTAAAATTAAATTAAATACTATCTTAAAAATTGAGTTCATGAGGTGCACTAGCCACATTTCAAGAGCTCAAGTCATATGTAGCTAGTAGTATCTACTGTATTAGACAGCAGATACAGAATACTTCCATTGTTACATGAAGTTCTATTAGCTTGAATGTGGAGGACTAGCGTCTTTAGCTTCCTTTCTTATAACCCCATTTTACCAGCCAGCAAATATTTGCAATAACTTCACTGTTACAGGATAATTTTCAGAGGAGTTAGGAATTGGGGGTAGGAAGCAGCATAGAATCTACAAGTCTTATAGGAGTTTCAGGAGGCATGGCATAGAGGCCAGGGGTTGATGGTCAATGGCAAGAGCCTTAGGTTTTAAGAAAGTACTTTAGGGACTGATGTTATATTACCAGGGCCACCTCCACTGTGGACTCAGTGGTTCTGCGTAATACCTGAAAACAAAAAATGACATCCCTACTGCTCTGCTGGAACTGAGTAGCTGAAGTGATTGTTATTACTCAAAATCTCCAGAGCTTGATTTTGTAAACTGTTTATCTGTCACGGTTCTTGTTCTCCCAAATCCAAGTGACATAAGCAGCGGTAATGTTTAGAAAAGGTTTGTTGACTTTGCTACCCCACTCCAAGAGCAGGGAGTAGTGGGTGTCATATCCACTAATCCACTGATACTCAGGGTACTTTTTTTTTTTTTTTTTGAGATGGAGTTTCATTCTTGTTGCCCAGGCTGGAGTGCAATGGTGCGATCTCGGCTCACTGCAACCTCCTCCTCCCAGGTTCAAGTGATTCTCCTGCCTCAGCCTCCTGAGTAGCTGGGATGACAGGCATGCGCCACCATGCCTGGCTAATTTTGTATTTTTAGCAGAGACAGGGTTTCTCCATGTTGGTCAGGCTGGTCTGGAACTCCCGACCTCAGGTGATCTGCCTACCTCGGCCTCCCAAAGTGCTGGGATTACAGGCATGAGCCACCGTGCCTGGCCCTCAGGGTACTTTTAATAAAGTGCTAGCTAGGCAAGCCTATTCTTCCTCTCAAGAGTAGGTGTTCCACTTTTGAACACCTATGCCAGGCACCGGCTATAGTGCCTACAAGAGGATGATATGTGGACATGACCACTTTCCCTGACTACATCAGTGGTTCTCAACTGGGGATGATTTTGCAATGTCTGCTTATGGGACATTTGGTAATGTCTAGAGACATTTGTGGTTGTCACAACTAGTGGAGGGGTACTACCTGCATGTAGTGGGTAGAGTCCAGAGATGCTACTAAGTATCCTATAATGCATAGGACAGCTGCCCACAACAAAGAATTATCTCACTCAAAATGTCAATAGGGTCGAGGTTGAGAAATCCTGGTCTAGGCTGGGTGTGGTGGCTCATGACTGTAATCCCAGCATTTTGGGAGGCCAAGGCAGGAGGATCACTTGAGCCCACCAGGAGTTCAAGACCAGCCTGGGCAATGTAGGGAGATCTCCACAAAAAATAAAAATAAATTAGCTGCACTATAGTCCTTGTTACACAGAAGGCTGACGTGGGAGCATCACTTGAACGTAGGAAGTGAGTGAGCTGTGATTGCACTACTGCACTCCAGTCTGGGCAACAGAGTGAGACCCTGGCTCAAACAAAACAAAAACAAAAGCATTGAAAGAAAGAAAGAGGCCGGGCGCGGTGGCTCACGCCTGTAATCCCAGCACTTTGGGAGGCCGAGGCGGGCAGATCACGGGGTCAGGAGATCGAGACCATCCTGACTAACACGGTGAAACCCTGTCTCTACTAAAAATACAAAAAATTAGCCAGGCTTGGTGGCGGGCGCCTGTAGTCCCAGCTACTCGGCAGGCTGAGGCAGGAGAATGGCATGAATCCAGGAGGCGGAGCTGGCAGTGAGCCGAGATCGTGCCACCACACTCCAGCCTGGGCAACAGAGCGAGACTCTGTCAAACAGAGAGAGAGAGAGAGAAAGAAAAAGAAATCAATCAATCAATCAATCCGGTTTAGATGACAACATGAATCAGGTTTGTTGTTGTTGTTGTTGTTTCCCCCGCAGACAGAGTCTCGCTCTGTCGCCCAGGCTGGAGTGCAGTGACGGCGATTTCGGCTCACTGCAACCTCCGCCTCCCGGGTTCAAGTGATTCTCCTGCCCAGGCCTCCTGAATAGCTGGGACTACAGGTGCACGTCACCATGCCTGGCTAATTTTTTGTGTTTTTAGTAGAGACGGGGTTTCACTGTGTTAGCCAGGATGGTCTCGATCTCCTGACCTCGTGATCCACCCGCCTTGGCCTCCCAAAGTGCTGGGATTACAGGCGTGAGCCACCGCGCCCGGCCTGTATCAGGTCTTTATGCCAAAATGAATCATGCAGTCTAGGCTCAGTAGGATAGTAAGGCTGTTAAATGTCTGATAAATTGGGAAGGAAAAAATATGGAGTCAGTGAAACAGTGGGCTCCCTAAAGCTGAAGGGCAGGTGTAATTGGAGTGTGCTTAAGTGTATTGGAAGGCTAAGAGCTAAGGTCATAGTGCAATGGGAGTTGATTTCAGATGTGTAGCCAATCTGAAGATGAGATCCAGGGTACAGCCACAGAAGTAGAGGAACAAGTTTAAACAGTCTGACTTGTGATACAGCAGTGAACAGCTGAACCTAATAGGGAAGACATTCAATAAACAGGTGAGCTGTATGTTTTTCCTCAATGTTTTTGTAACCCACACTTCTACTTTTCATATACCTGAAAATCTCACATTTGCCCCTCCATTTACAATTTCAAAATTAAGTATCATGATTGAAATTAATGAAAGCAGTAGTAATTTTAGAAGGAAAAAATTTATTCAGATGATGTGATAGCCATGTCACTGTTAAGCCTGAACTTTTCTTTCCTGGGTGGTGTGAAAGGTGCAAGAAAACACAAGCTGCTTTTAATAACACTCTTGCACTGCTTTCTCCCCAAAGCTAGATATATCAAAACATTAAAAAATAAAAAAGCTTTTTAAGGTGTAAGGAGCAAATGGAATAGTGGATAAAGCCTTTTCATCTGTTTAGTCATTTTACACCCAAGTTTCTCTGGAGTATTTGCCTGGAAGTTTCTAATCAAAACCATTAGACTTTGAGTTTCACAAACTCCTCTTGAAGCTCTTCCAGTGAGGCCTGCACATCGGTATGAAACACATTCTTTCCAAAAGCTACCACTGGTAGATTTTAAGAACAAGCTCAGGAGCACATCACTCAAAATAATTCCAAGTATTTCACTTTTTCCCTTCAAATAACACTCATGAATCTGGTCCTTGAAAGACTAGCCAAGAAAATTAGACATTTTTAGCATTAGTTTGCTCATACATACATTTGCTATATTTTTATGGTTGTATTTTTGGCAAGTTTTGTTTGATGTATTTCATAATGAACGGCGAAATTGGTGTTTGCCCATTGACATTTCAGTGTCAATGTATTTTAAGCTTCAGTGTGTTAAAACTCTGTTGAAAATTTTAACTTTTGAAATGTTCAAGTATAGATTATTTTTCATTGTTCTTCCAACCTTGGGGTTGTTCTGTCCACAAGTTCAGCAGAATCCGTTTTTCTTTGGCAACCAAGAAACTTCAATATGTAACAGAAAACATGGAATGGCATTTAGATCTTCAAAAAGCAGGGCAAACTGGAATGGAATGTACTGTTTCTCACAGTGGTCTATGCTGACAGCAAGGCTGAAGATTTCCAGTAGGTTATGGGTAATCAGTGAAAGTTCATGCTTGGTGGTGACAGCTGCAGTACATCTTGAATACCAGTTTTCTTCAATCTTTGCCAAAAACCCAAATTTAACACAGTTTGCTGTAGTGCCATTAAGATATACTCCTATACAATTTCCTCCAACTCGGTTCATTTGATACAGCTGCAAAAATACTGTCTTTGGTGGTCAAGTAGAAGGCTCACGAAAACAGCACACCCACAGTTTTGAAAGCCTTATTCTGAATGTAAGCAAAGTACAGTTTTCTTCATCAGTAGATTCATCTCAACCAACAGCAATAAAAGATGAGCCGATTTTTTTTTTTTTTTGAGATGGAGTCTTGCTCTATTGCCCAGGCTGGAGTGCAGTGGCTCAGTCTCGGCTTACTGCAAGCTCCGCCTCCCAGGTTCATGTCATTCTCCTGCCTCAGCCTCTTGCGAGCTGATGTTTTTTAAGATCTGAAGTTTGATATATACAGTCATTAATTCAGAGTTAAGACTGCAGAAGTAGATGAAGAAATTCTGGAATTCCTTAATTTATTTGTGGCAGCACTCAGAATGCAAGGTTTCACAAGTGTCTCCATTTTTTTCTCCTTTGCAATTAAAAGGGCTGTTTAATATTAAGCTTTCACGGCTTGGAAGATTCCTGTGAATATTTCAATACTGTCCAGTCTTAAAGCTGCAGAGAATCGGGCTTTGCAGAACACTCCACTGTTTTTAATGGCATGAATTTAACAGTGTTTGGCATGGTGTCACTGCCCAACACTTTCAGATAACTCAACTGAAGAAGTTGACCCTATCTTCTGCAAAATAACATGAGTATATACTTGAGAAAAGCCTCAACATTTTTTTTTGGCTGCCATTTTTAGCTACCTCAAAGGAGATAACAGAAAAACAAGGAGTACTGATGATGGAAGCATCTGGTCCCTCTTGCAGAGTGATGAATGATTTTATTGGTGGCAGCTGGGTGGCAGGACAATCCAGGCATCCAGTTATGCCTGATCCCCAATAAGTGAAATCTTTGTTCATTTTCTTTTTATACACCCGTCTGCTTCCTAAAACCTGACACCATTTAATGGTGCCCTTGGTCAAATCTAAATGATCTTACTTTCATAATTCTTTGATTCTAGCTTGCAGAGTCAAGACGAACTCTAACTCATGGGATGGACAAACTGGAAGATGTAAAATAAGTAAGGCTTTCTGGGCCAAAAAGCCTCTTCTTACAGAAAATCAAATTTTAAAAGAACATTGACCTCAAAACAATAAAACTGTCCTGGTTATGCAATAGAAATAGCTATATAAATGGAATCATATCCTTAATGAACACCTCCTGTGGCTACCCAACTTTTCACACATCTTACTGATTATAGGCCTTGCTGTGAATGCTTTCTTGCTCTATCTGAAGTATTCCCACCAGAGTTGTTTCCAACTTTATTTCCTATATTATGAAAAATGAAGTTTTTTTAACATTGTAACAAAGTATATGAAAGATAATGTATACTGTATTAAATAAACCATTATACAAAAATAGTTCCTTGTACTGTTAACTATTATTATGACTTTGGTCAGTAAAATTCTAAATCATGCGACTATAATTTACATGTTTACCAATGGAAGGAAGTGACAATGAACTGCCTAAAGAATGAAAGAGACACCCAGGCATGGTGGCTCACATCTGTAATCCCAGCACTTTGGGAGGCCGAGGCGGGGGGATCAGGAGGTCAAGAGATTGAGACCATCCTGGCCAACATGGTGAAACCCCGTCTACACTAAAAATGCAAAAATTAGCTGGGCATGGTGGTGCGCACCTGTATTCCCAGCTACTTGGGAGGCTGAGGCAGGAAAATCGCTTGAACTCGGGAGGCGTAGGTTGCAGTGAGCCGAGATCGCACCACTGCACTCTAGCCTGATGACAGAGCGAGACTCCAGCTCAAATAAATAAGTAAATAAATAAATAAATAAAAATAAAAAAAGATTTGTGTCTTAACTGTGCACTTAACAATATTTACTATAAAATGGGGGAAGGGGATGATGATAAAAGTTAGCTGAGGAAGGCTGGGCACAGTGGCTCATGCCTGTAATCCCAGCACTTTGGGAGGCCCAGGTGGTGGATCTCCTGAGGTCAGGAGTTCAAGACCAGCCTGGCCAACATGGTGAAACCCCATCTCTACTAAAAATGCAAAATTAGCTGGGCATGGTGGCATGTGCCTGTAATCGCAACTACTAGGGGTGCTGAGGCAGGAGGATCGCTTGAACCCGGGAAACGGAGGTTGCAGTGAGCCGAGATCATGCCATTGCACTTCTGCCTGGGCAACAGAGCAAGATACCGTCTCAAAAAAAAAAGTTAGAAGAGAAATGGAAGGTTCTCTCTTTTCCTCAGCTTCAGTATACTAAAACCCAGAAGCATAGGACATAAGTTTTTTCCATGGGATACTTTAGTTATCACCTTGGGTGAAAACATGGTACTAGGATTTGTCCTTCAAGTCAGGTTAATGTAACAGAGGTAGCAGTGACTTATGGTTAGATTTGTGCCTTAACTGTGCACTTCCCAATATTTGCTATAAAATGGGGGCAGGGGGGTGATAATAATATCTAATACATGAAGCCTGTAGGACAGTGCTCTGTGTTTGTGTTTTGACTGCAACTCAAAGAAAGCAATATATTTTTAGATGAAGTATATACATGTATATATATATAACTTAAAAGTTTCATAAAGCAGTACTTACCCTTACTATGTTCCATGTGTTCTAATATTTTCTCTTACTTCATTTTGAGATAATGCTAGGCATGACCCATTTATTTTAAGACACACTAATTGGTCAAAAAACAATTTGAAAACCACTGCTATAGGAGAACACGAGGAAATATATTTTATAAACTGTAAAGCACTACTAAGACGTGAGCAGCGGCTGCTGCATATCCAGGTCAACCTTTATGGGCCTGAAGACAACCTCTCCTTCGTTTGGGCACTGCTAGGAGTCAAATCTACCTAGACTTTTGGTAAGGAAGATGGTACTCATGCTCATTGTCATTGAGACAATTATCTAATGCTTAGAAGTCAAGACTAGAAAGCAAGGCATTAACCATATCAGCACCCAAACAAGGGAAGACAAGTTACAAGAAAGCCAAATAAAACAGCAAACATTTGTTTAGTGCTTTATGGTTAACATATATGATCTCTTTTAATCCTTACAATCCTAGGGAAAAAGTGAAGCTCAAGGAGGTTGACACCTGCCCAAGACTAGACAGTAAGTGGCAGAGCCAGGTCATCTGATCCTAAATCCCGCACTCCTTCCACTATGATAAAATACCAGGAAAGAAAAGTGATCAGGATATGAGGCACATTCTGATCCATCAAAGATGCTTATATGCTTTGCCTTTCTCTAGAAGGAAAACGGACCCCACTGAAGGTAGAGATGCAATCCCAGACTTTCAGAGGGGGGGTGTGGCCAATTGCTATCAGTAGTTTAGGACTCACATCTGGCATTTCTGTCTACCAATACATCTATTTTGACACTGCTTGTGCTGAGGTCCCAAATGTCTATTATCTCCAAGTACTGTGGCTTTCTATTCCTATCTGTACCTGTCCCAGGGAATTGGTCAAGGACTCACATTAGGGAGAAATGAAGTACTGGGTATCTGTTACTCACGTCCCTTACACTTAGGTAGACTGCCAGTATTAGCAGTAGTGGTCCGCTTCCAGTGACCGTCATATTATCTGTTCAGCTTCCTCTGGGGAAGCCAATCTGCCCCAATCTTCATGGTTTTGTGTCTCCTTTTTTACCCATATGACCATCTCTCTCCACCGTGTCTCCCTCATCAAATAAAGAGAAGTTTAGCAACTAAGTACCTGAGGAGGTGGGAAAGGAATGCTACTCATTCCTCAGCTCTCCTAGTTACCTTTCCACTCCCTTCATCCCCCCACATTCCCTCATTTCTCTCACCTGGTACTCCTGCACCACCTCCTCCAAAGGCAGCACGCTGTGCTGTTTGTGGCTCCTGGATTCTCGGCACACCACACAGATGGCCTCTTTGTCCACCTCACAGAAGAGTTTCAGGGCTTCCTGGTGTTTAAAGCACATGCCCTGATCATTACTCCGGTTTCCCCGATAAGGAGTGGGGCACATCTGGCGAATTATCTGGACCATGTTGGCCAGCTGCAAGTTGGGACGAAAGCTGCGACGTGTAAAGCTCTTTCGGCACTGGGGGCAGGTGAACTGCCCTGGAAGGGGCAAGGAAGGAGGCGGGTGGATGTCAGGATACAGCTCTTCATCTTCGTCCTCATCGTATGCTTCCAGTATTTCTTCTTCTCGGTAGACATCAATTCTCAGGTCAGGTCTCAAGCCTCCTAGGTAATAGTCCTGATCTTCCTCTTCTTCTTCTTCCTCCTCGTCCCACATATAGTCTACGTTGTCCCAATTAGTTATACCACTGTCACCGAGCCAGAGTTCATCGTCATCTTGGTCTTGGAACAACTCTTCGTCAGCATTCCCCCGATACAACACCTCTCGAATGGAGCCGTCCCATCCATCCATGGCCCCCACCGCTTCCTCGTCCTCCTCCTCCTCCCATTCATCTTCCTCCTCGTTCTGGTCCTCCTCGTCCTCCTTACTCCACAGCTGGGTCACACACCCTCGGCAGAAGTTGTGCCCACAGCTGATGGACACGGGGTCCTTGAAGTAATCCAAGCAGATGGCACACACCGCTTCCTCCTGAAGGGTCTGCATGGGGCTGGGAGTAGTGGCATAACCAGCCATCTTAATGCCCGCCGGCAGGTGTAGATACGTCAGCTTGGAGCTGAGGAGCGGGGACGCGCCTGCAGGCCTGCCTCCAAACTACTCTGGTGACCCGAGGCTGTCCTCAACCTTGCTCTTCTTCCTCGGGGCCGCAGGGGAGCTTTGACCCCCTCTCTCAGGGTGCGAACGCCCAGATCCAGACTCACAGCCTCTCTCTGGGATCGGTGGGGACAGAGCAGGCTGCAGCCCCCAGCTGCTCGGTCCTGTCACGTCTCTCGCTACCCTCAGGGTGTGCCCTACACTGCGGCGTCCGCCTCAGATGCAGCCGCTGGCTACCCTGCCCGAGGCGACGCAAAATGACGTCTCGCTCCTGCACACGCTCTGGAGAGACGCTCTAGGCCGGCGGAGGACCACGTCTCTATGGTGTGCCGGGGGCCGCGCGGGCCGGGAGTTGGGTGGGCTGGGGGACAGGCGCGCCCGCGCCGCCCGCTCCAGCTGGGCTAGTGCTGCACATTCCGGCCAGCCCCTCCTCAAGACCCCATTCCCAAGCCCCTTCTCAGCTCCCTCGGGCCGGCAGAGCGGCTCTGATCAGGTCAGCGGCGGACGCCGGGAAGAGGCCCGGCTTGGGAGAGGTGGTTTGGTGGGTTGGCTGGTTCTAGATGGTGGGGGGGTCAACACTTGAGGGGGACTGGGTCTCCGAGCCGTTGTCCAGCCTGAGCCGGAGCCCCAGGAAGGTTAGAGGGAAGGGGGATAAATCTCTCCGGAAGCCCCGCCCGGGCCGGGGCCGAGTTGGTCCGCGGCGGTGGGGAAGCCTGGGACACCACCCTGGTGCTGTCGCCCGTCCCGCCGTCCGCGCTTGGGGTGCCTTTGTGGGGATCCGGGCGCCGCACAGCTGGGAGGGCCTGCCGCCCGGGAGGCTCGGATCCGGGGCGCCCAGTGCCCCCCGCTGCCTTCCGTGAGCCGTCGGGCCCCAGCTCCACGTAGGCCTCAGACCCAGCCCTGTTTCTGCTTGCGGGGCCGCGGCTGCGCAGTATTGCGGCGTCTGCCAGCAAAGCTGCGCCCCGGTCGTGGGTCCCCTGAGGGGGCCGGGGCTCAAGTTCCCTTCGGTGCTGCCGCCTGCGTCGGGCCAGGGTTCCGAGTTCCAGCCCTGAGCTCTGTGAGCTCGGCCGGGAGGGGGCTGGATTTGGGACCACACTTCCTCACCGCCGTGGTTTAGACTTAGTTTGAGAGCGGCTGGCCCCTCCTTCCTGTCCCGGTGTCCTCCGCTGTCTGTTATGCCCTTCACTCCTCCCTGGGGAGGGAGGGCTGGGGGCGCTGTCTGGGTCTGTTTTCCACCCCAGCGGGGCCCTAGGGCAGTGTCATTTAGACTCCACTCTGTCACCTTTCCTGGAGAGGGGACCTGATCCAGGGCTGAGAGGTTTTTTTTTTTTTTTTTTTTTTTGAGATGGAGTCTGGCTGTTGCCCAGGATGCAGTGCAGTGGCGCGATCTCGGCTCACTGCAAGCTCCGCCTCCCAGGTTCACGCCACTCTCCTGCCTCAGCCTCCCGAGTAGCTGGGACTACAGGCGCCCGCCACCACGCCCGGCTAATTTTTTTTTTTTTGTATTTTTAGTAGAAACGGGGTTTCACCCTGTTAGCCAGGATGGTCTCGATTTCCTGACCTCGTGATCCGCCCACCTCGGCCTCCCAAAGTGCGGGCTGAGAGATCTTACAGTGGGAGGGGGAATCAGGCCCTGGGGAAAGGCTTCTCAGGGGTTGTCTCCTTCTGTCTTCTGTCTCTGCAGGTAGGGATAGAACCAGGTCAGGCCTGGATTTGTAGTCCCAGAGAACAGAGGATGGAGATGGGGGCTGGACGCAGCTCAGAGGGGCTGGTGCTCATGGGCTCTGTGTATGCCTTCTCCTGTGGCCTGGTTCTGTGTACAGATGTTCTACCCCAGTGCTGAGGGCCAAGACACCCTCTTGGCCTTGGTGCTGGGGGCATCCTGGGGCAAGGAGTGTAGGCAGAACTCCTCAACATTGGAGATTTGGGGAAATTGTGTCCCCTCCCTTTTAGACTCCTGTAGCCCCCTGCAGTGGCACGATCTGGGCCCACAGCAATCTCCACCTCCTGGGCTCAAGCAGTCCTCCCACTTCAGCTTCTGGAATAGCTGGGAACACAGGCATGCACCACCACTCCAGGCTAATTTCTTTATTTTTTTATAGAGACAGGGTTTCGTCATGTTGCCCAGGCTAAAGTGCCGTGGCTATTTATAGTCACGATTATTGCACCCTACCACCTCAAACTCCTGGACTCAAGTGATCCTCCCGCCTCAGCCTGTGGAGTAGCTGGGACTACAGGCATGCACCACTATGCCTGATTTACCCATTCTCTTTTAGATTTTTTTTTTTTTTGAGAGAGGGTCTTGCTCTGTTGCCCAGGCCAAATGCAGTGGTATGATCATGGCTCATTGCACCCTTGACCCCTGGGCTCAAGTGATCATCCTGCCTCAGCCTCCCAAGTAGCTGGGACTACAGGTGTGCATTACCACATCTGGCTAATTTTTATTATTTTTTTTTTTGTAGAGATGAGGTCCTGCTATGTTGCCCAGGCTAGTCTTGAACTCCTGGTTTAAGCAGTCCTGCCTCAGCCTTACAAAGTGCGGGAATTACAGATGTGAGCCACTACGCTCAGCCCCATACAAGGTTTTTTTTCTTTCTTTACCTGCCCTTCAATAAGAAGTACATTGCACATACTGATCCAATATAGACCTGCACATATATAACAGAAAGAAAATTTCTGCAGTGTTCTTTCCCTTATGACATCCAAAGCACTCTGATATTTTCTGTTTTATTTCAGTAAAATGCTGTTGAAGGCCCACGGGCATGACTGCACCCCTCACTAATTGGTCATTGGTTTGGGGAGGACACCACTGTCCCAGTGGAACCTTGAGCACACCTTGGAGCCCTCCTCTTCCTCTCCGGACCTGTGCCAAACTGTGAGTGGCACAGAGCAAGGACTGTATGTGTTCTCTTCTTTGTTGCATACTCAGTTCCTTGACCACAGTGCCAAGCACACAGCGAGCACTCCCTGTGTATCTGCTGAGTAAATAAACGAATGAACAAACCCAACACATTTCAGCCAAGTCCTGCTGATGTTTCTCCTCCGATCTAGCTCCTCCTTTCCAGCCTTACTTCTGCCACTCCAGATTTCACCCCCATCAGCTTCAGACTGGATAAAAGGAAACCATTTCTCTAAAGGATCACTTGCTCTCTCATTTCAGGCCATCCTGCAGCCACCAGAACCTTCCACATGAAATGAAAGGCTCACCACTTCATAGGCTTTAAGGAAATTCTTGGCCAGGTGTGGTGCCTCACTCATGTAATCCCAGTGCTTTAAGAGGCCAAGATGGGAGGATTGTTTGAGCCAGCTGTTTGAGACCAGCCTGGGCAACGTCATGAGACCCCATCTCCACAAAAAAAAAAAAAAAGAAAATTGGCTGGGTGCGGTGGCTCATGTCTGTAATCCCAGCAATTTTGGAGGCTGAGGCGGGTGGATCACTTGAGGTCAGGAGTTTGAGACCAGCCTGGCCAACATGGTGAAACCCCGTCACTACTAAAAATACAAAAATTAGCCAGGCGTGGCGGCAGGTGCCTGTAATCCCAGCTACTTGCGAGGCTGAGGAAGAATTGCGTGAACCTAGGAGGTGGAGGTTGCAGTGAGCCAAGATCATGCTGCTGCACTCCAGCCTGGGCAACAGAGTGAGACTCCATCTCAAAAATAATAAAAATAAATTAAAAAAATTAAAAATTACCTGCGTGTGATGGTGTGCGCCTGTAGTTCCAGCTACTTGGGAGGCTGAATTGGGAGGATCATTTGAGCCCAGGAGGTCAAGGCTGCAGTAAGCAGTGATGGTGCCACTGCCCTCAGCCTGGGCAACAGAACAACATGCAATCTTAAAAAAAAAAAATCCTGGCCAGGCACAGTGGCTTATGACTGTAATCCCAGCACTTTAGGAGACGGAGGCGGGCAGATCACGAGGTCAGGAGATTGAGACCATCCTGGCTAACACGGTGAAACCCCGTCTCTACTAAAAATACAAAAAATTAGCTGGGTGTGGTGGCAGGCGCCTGTAGTCCCAGCTACTTGGGAGGCTGAGGCAGGAGAATGGCGTGAACCCGGGAGGTAGAGCTGGCAGCGAGCCGAGATGGCGCCACTGCACTCCAGCCTGGGCGACAGAGAGACTCCATCTCAAAAAAAAAAAAAAAAAAAAAAAAAGCCAAGGGGAAGGCCCAACCCTAGCCTTGTCTTCTTTCTCCTCTTTGTGGAGAAGCTCACAGATGTGGGTGTAGCAGAAGTGTGACTGCGGCCCACGCTGCCTCCCTGCGTCTTCTCACCTTCTCCTTGCCCTGCGCTGTCACACCAGCGAACGAACCACACAGCCTCCCCTCAAGGCAAAAAGCCGGGGTCAGGGGTCAACCTGCCAGCTGCCCACGCCGAGGGTTTGACAGCCTCAGCTAGGGCTCTCTAGGCTCCTCCTCTCCACAGTCTTTAACGGGGAGGAGGCCCGGGGCAATGCTGCTGGCAGAGGAGGAGTGGGCTCTAGGTTAGGGAGAAGTGTGGCTGTGCACTGAATTGCTCTTGGCAGTAGCTCACTGAGACTAACTCGGGGGAAGGCACTGTTGGTCCTGGCCTGGGAAAACACGGAAGAGGGCTAGAGGGAGTGAGCTGCAGTGCATTGCGGGCAGGGTCCTGCAGGCTCCCAGGGTCTCGGCCCCAAGAGACAGAACCCCTGCCCTGCCTGGCCGTAAATTAGATGAGGCTGAGAGGAGCAGGGGCTGGAGCTGGTTTTCTCGGAGCCTCTGCAGCGCTAGGCCTTAAGCACACAGCCCCTTCACTCTTCCCGGCCCATGCACCAGGGAGAGGACACGAGGTGGAGTGGCCTGGCCCCTCTGTCCATCCAATCTCTGGCTGCAGTAGGAGAGAGGGCCCCTGCATGCATCATCATCAATTCCAAAGGGCTCCTAGGTTTGTGGGAATTTCAGGCCAGGCAGGTGGTGGGAGAAGGAGACTGAGCTCAGGTTCTTCCCCTAATCAGAGTGAAGATCAAAACACCCTGCTCCTGAGTTCCCTGCATCGGTACCTTCCCTGAGGACAGGAGACGGGGGACCAGGATGGGAGAAGGTCAGGAGAGAGCTGGGGTTGACTCCCAAGGCCCAGGTTACAGCCCCCTGCTCTCAGCCCCATCTCACGGTAGGCCCCTCCCCGGTGTGGGCCAGTCCAGCCTGCCCAAGTGAAATGACCAACGTGCCAGAAAGTTTAATTTCAAGGTTTAAACAATAATAAGTAATACATACTGAAAACAAAACATACATATGCCTCAGACCCAGTGACTCCACCCTAAACCCTATGCCCAGAGGCAAGAAATGCATGCTTATGTTCACCAAAAGATGGATACAGGTGATCAAGGTGCTGTTCCTAATACTTCCAAACTGGAAACAGCCCTCCTATCAACCAGAGAACACATAAGCACATTTGGCCTATTTACATGATGGAATATTTACATCAAAGTGAGAATGAACTTACTACATGCTATGTCATGGATGCATCTCATAGACGTTAAGTGAATTAAGCCTGGCATAAGAGCATCAGACTGTACGATTCCATTCTCTGATGCTCACAACAGACAAAACTACTCCAGGGCCAGAGAAGGCAAGACCGTGGTTACGTGGGGGTGGAGAATGAGTACAGTGGACTCAGGATTTCTGGGGATGCTCCATCCATCTCCTGTTCTGACTGTACGCTTTGAAAATTCATTTCAGCTGCAAATGTATGATTTGTGTCTTTCTGTGGAGATATCACATTTCAAGCAGAGCAGATAAAGAACTACCAATATTCCCAGAGTCTGTAATAGTCAAACCTGCCACAAACCTACAACCAGGCCTGATGCAGACCCACTGGTCACGTTCACTGTGTCCAGCTGGGACTTCTGGAATCTAAGAGACAGTGCCCAGCTGAATTACATAAGCCCCCCAAAAGAACAAAACCACCTTTGCCAAATTATGAACAATGAGTGAAACCTACCACGACTGGTGAAGGGGTGGCCTGTCCCTCCACACTTGTGGGCGTTTCTCGTCGGGTGGAACGAGAGACTTGAGAAAAGAAAGACACAGAGACAAAGCGTAGAGAAAGAAAAGTGGGCCCAGGGAACCGGCACTCAGCATACGGAGGACCTGCGCCAGCACCAGTCTCTGAGTTCCCTCAGTATTTATTGATCATTATTGGGTGTTTCTCAGAGAGGGGGATGTGGCAGGACAATAGGGTAATAGTGGGGAGAGGGTCAGCAGGAAAACGTGAACAAAGGTCTCTGCATCATAAACAAGGTAAAGAAAAAAGTGCTGTGCTTTTGATGTTCATATACACAAACATCTCAATGCCTTAAAGAGCAGTATTGCTGCCAGCATGTCCCACCTCCAGCCCTAAGGCGGTTTTCTCCTATCTCAGTAGATGGAATATACAATCGGGTTTTACACCGAGACATTCCATTGCCCAGGTACGAGCAGGAGACAGATGCCTTCCTCTTATCTCAACTGCAAAGAGGCCTTCCTCTTTTACTAATCCTCCTCGACACAGACTCTTTACGGGTGTCGGGCTAGGGGACAGTCAGGTCTTTCCCTTCCCACGAGGCCATATTGCAGACTATCACATGGGGAGAAACCTTGGACAATACCTGGCTTTCCTCAGCAGAGGTCCCTGTGGCCTTCAGCAGTGTATTGTGTCCCTGGGTACTTGAGATTAGGGAGTGGTGATGACTCTTAAGGAGCATGCTGCCTTCAAGCATCTGTTTAACAAAGCACATCCTGCACCGCCCTTAATCCATTTAACCCTGAGTGGACACAGCACATGTTTCAGAGAGCACGGGGTTGGGGCTAGGGTTACAGATTAACAGCATCTCAAGGCAGAAGAATTTTTCTTAGTACAGAACAAAATGGAGTCTCTTATGTCTACTTCTTTCTACATAGACACAGTAACAGTCTGATCTCTTTCTTTTCTCCACAGACTGGCCCACCTGGCTTCTAACCTTATAGGCTGTTTTGGTATTTTTCTCTTGGTTATTCTAGCACTGAGGCCAAAATAACTATGAGAGGGATTTAGTTTATAGTTAAACTTGGAGGCAAGGGAAACGAACCCCCTCCACCCCATCCAGAGATTCGGGCTGCATTCACATGACAAGGTTAGTATTATGGCAGGGGCTTGGACCTTGCTAAAGAATAGGAATAATTAAGCACTGATTGCTGTCGCTTAGCAGGTTTTCTGTAAGTTACCGACTGCCCCAGAGTCACATAACTGAGGACTGCAAGATTTATAACTTCCGGGCCGGGCTCAGTGGCTCCCGCCTGTCATTCCAGCACTTTGGGAGGCTGAGGTGGGTGGATCACGAGGTCAGGAGTTCAAGACCAGCCTGTCCAAGATGGTGAAACCCTGTCTCTACTAAAAATACAAAAAAATTAGCGGGGCGCGGTGGCAGGCGCCTGTAATCCCAGCTACTCAGGAGTCTGAGGCAGGAGAATCCTTTGAACCCGGGAGGCAGAGGTTTCAGTGAGGCGAGATCATGCCGCTGCACTCCAGCCTGGGTGACGGAGTGAGACCCTGTCTCAAACAAAAACAAAAAGAAAAAGAAAACAAGCACAATACCACAACCAGTACCACAGAAAACCTCAACCAATGGTCATAGAAGCAGCTGAAAATGTTATCTAAGACTACCTCTAAGCAAACTTCTAGAAACACACACATGCATACCTGCCAAAAATGTTTAGCCTGAATCTAATCAAGCTCTCCATCCTAATGTGCAGTTTGTAGGAATCTGGGGAAACAGAGCAAGAACATGTTAAATGACACTTCCAGGAAACAAAGACCCAGAATGAGGGACATTTTCCAAGACAACAGCCCGGTTTTCTTCCAAAAGTCAATCGAAAAATAGGCAAAGGACACAAGCAATTCACCAAAGAAATGCCACATCCAATATACCTTCAATAAATATGTTCACTTACAAGCAATTGAAGACATGCTCGTTACAAACGTTAAGAAGAAACCACTTTTCAAAGTGGCAAAAAAAAAAGTCTTTATAGATAGCACTGAATGCAGACAGAAGTACTGAGATGGACTAACCCACAGGCGCACAAATAAGAACTCCCTTCTGAAAAGCCAGGTACCAATTACAATCCATAAAAATGACTCAGTGCTAACATGTATGAATCCATCTTTTTTTTTTTTTTGAGATGGAGTCTCGCACTGTCATCCAGGCTGGAGTGCAGTGGCGCGATCTCGGCTCACTGCAAGCTCTGCCTCCCAGGTTCACGCCATTCTCTTGCCTCAGCCTCCTGAGTAGCTGGGACTACAGGCGCCCGCCACCACGCCCGGCTAATTTGTTTGTATTTTTAGTAGAGACAGGGTTTCACTGTGTTAGCCAGGATGGTCTCGATCTCCTGACCTTGTGATCCACCCGCCTCGGCCTCCCAAAGTGCTGGGATTACAGGCGTGAGCCACCGCGCCCGGCCACGAATCCATCTTATGAAAATAAAAAATGTGATCCGGGAATTATTTCAAGGTTGTTCAGTGTGAAGTTCTTTACAATATAAACAAAGTACAAAAATGCTTAAATGTTTAACCACAGAATTGTTACTTCAATTATATTTAAATAATAAAAATGAAATATTTCAAAAAGTTTAATGACAAAATTTATAAAGTAGGGCTGTAACTAAAAAAGTTTGTACACAAACATGTTTTTTTTAACGACTAGAAGTACCTCAAAAAGTTAACAAAGGTTTTATATGGGTGGTAGAATTCTCCTATGATATATACATTTTATTCTAAATTTTCAGGAACACATACTACCTTTATCATCAGAAGACAACTATCAGTTTTATTGGTGTTCATTTTTCACACAAACAAAATCTATTTTTAACACATGCATGTTAAAATGTATGGCAGGCTTCTCTTTTTAAGGACCATATCTATTAATTTCTCAGCCAAAGGGAGAAAATGAGATCATAAAAGGAGGAATCCTAACAAACATCCTCCCGCTGTCCAACCTTTTAAACAATCACCAGCCCAGGGTTCTTCATTATTCCCACAAACAAAAATATATATATTTTTGCCCATATATATACACACATATACGTATATATTATATATATATGTATACACACATATACATATATATTATATATATATATGTATACACACATATACATATATATTATATATATATATGTATACACACACACATATATGTATCTCCAGGACAGTGCCTGCTCCTAATGGTTTGTAGTGGCAATTTTAGGCAAGATAGAAGTTAGATTTTTGAACCAGGGATCCTTGTGAGGGAGTTGATCCTCTTCCTCTGAGCTGGCAGGTTGTTCCTTTTTCTCAACCTTAAGGAAAGGAGATGTCTTTGCTGGCATACTATTGTGCCCTTTAACAAGGAGTTGAAGCATTTATTAAAGAGATAATCTAAAGAAAGACAGTGGTTCTGAAAAAGCCATCACGCTTGAGGTCTTGCAATAGGTGGTGAACTTAGGGAGGCTATTCGGCCAGTAGAAGGTACTTGTAAAAGCCTGTGGATCTTTATGACTTGCTTGCACATGGTGTCTAATGAGGGACTGAGTAATAACGAGCCATGAGTCCCTTGAGCATGAGGTTATCAAACAAACTATATAGGTGATTTGAGAACGAGGCTTTTGGGGATCTATTGTGTAAGGGGGCAGGCTTGTATAAGTAGCAACTACAGTGTCAGAGTGATCATGCACTATATGAGGTCCAGGGTGACAAATCCAGCAGGGGATAAGTTAGCAGAAGGAGCACTACATTGGGAAATCCTTGCTAGAGTTATCTTGGCCAGGAGCGGTGGCTCACAACTGTAATCCCAACACTTTGGGAAGCCAAGGCGGACAGATCACCTGAGGTTGGGAGTTCAAGACCAGCCTGACCAACATGGAGAAAACCCCATCCTACTAAAAATACAAAATTAGCTAGGCATGGTGGCACATGCCTGTAATCCCAGCTACTGGGGAGGCTGAGGCAGGAGAATCGCTTGAACCCGGGAGGCAGAGGTTGCCGTGAGCCGAGATGGTGAAACTCCGTCTCAAAAAAAAAAAAAAAGAATAAAAAAAAAGGAGTTACCTTGTCAAGCAAGCAAGGGTCCCCAAAAGACAAACAGGACAAATAATGGTGTACATTTTTAATTTACTTACCTTTTTTGCAAAAACAAAACAACCAACCAAACTAAAAAAGACTTTAGATCTTCCACGGGCTTGCAAACCCACTGTTTTTCTGGCTTCTGAGACAGAAGGGGGCCTCCAGTGGTGCAGCCTTGATTCAGTGTGATGTACCCACAGCTTTATCCCAGCAAGCTTGACTGATGAGTGGGCATTTAGCAACACCTCCAACAACAACCCGTCCACTTGATGGCCAGTTGGTGCTCTGGGCCTTGTTCTCTCCAGGCCTTCAGGAGCACCCAATCTCCAGGTCAGAAAGGGTGCAGAGCTATGTCTGTGGGGTAGGAAGTCCTGCTGGAGGCCAGCTTGTGAGTACAAATTAACATACTACCTAAAGCCTTTACGTATTTAGCAATTGTTAAATCCTCCAGGCCTCAGCAGGCTCCCGTGTTGGATCAGAAACATAGAATGCAGTATTATATAAACATGACACTGAAAATATTGTTTTGTAATGTGTAACTATGTATGTTGCTGCTCAGATGTCTTTATCATTACTGTTACTTTTTTTTGTGTTTTTTTGGATACAGAGTCTTGCTCAGTCGCCAGGCTGTAGTGCAGTGGCACGATCTCAGCTCACTGCAGCCGCCACCTCCCAGGTTCAAGCGATTCTCCTGCCTCAGCCTCCCGAGTAGCTGAGACTACAGGTGCGTGCCAGCAGGCCTGGCTAATTTTTTATATTTTTAGTAGAGACGGGGTTTCACCGTGTTAGCCAGGATGGTCTCGATCTCCTGATCTTGTGATCCGCCCGCCTCGGCCTCCCAGCGGTGGGATTACAGGCGTGAGCCACCACGCCTGGCCAATAATTTTTGTTAACAAATTTCACATTACACTCTTTGTTTTACTGAAACTGCATCTTCTCTTTGTGAACAGAGCACCATGGCCTGGCAAGGTCCGACGTTTTCCAAGGATCCTGGCTGAGCTCCTGTGGAAGCTGCTTCTTACACTGATGTGGTCCCTCGGCTGGCAGGCCCTTCTGCGGCCAACCAGGTGACACCTGCCAGTTATGAGGGACAGGTAGGAGAGGATGGGCTTTCCATCAGAAAAAAAAAAAAAAAGGTTTTCCAAACTGCTTTTCTTTCAAATTTTAATCTTAAGACTAACCTACATTAATTTCTTATTTTTATCTCATAAAGTCCAGAATTTCTGATAATTTCAGTTCTTTTCCAGAGTGCAAAGAAGCATTGGCTCTTCAGGTATTATGTTTAACATTTTGCAGGAATTGCTTTACTCTATAGACAAATAAACTACACATTTAAGACTTATTTCCTCTGTCAGTAAATGTGAACGCTTTGACTAATTTCTCAAGTGTGTTGTTTTGACAGTGAGGCAGATAGCCTGCTGTTTTGGGTCAAACCTACGTAAATGTACATGACCCCAGCAAGTACCACTGAAGACATTTTGGGATATTTTCTCTAAATTGATCTTATCTCATTTACCAGTTGGATGTGCTCTTGCTTTTTCTGCTCCTCTACTCATTTCTAGTCCCCTTTTTTAATTCTTTAAAAAATCTTTTTGCCTTAATTTTTTTGTTGCCCCTAAGGGCATTGTGTTGGACTGCTGATGCCATTTACAATTAATAACTTTCTGGTCTCTGAACTAAAAAAATAAACTTTTTTTTTCTTTAGAGATTCTAGACTCAGCAGAGGAATTCACAGCAAGAGTTGATGTAGAAGTTGACAACCAAGGCCAGGCGCGGTGGCTCACGCCTGTAATCCCAGCACTTTGGGAGGCCGAGGTGGGTGGATCACGAGGTCAGGAGATGGAGACCATCCTGGCTAACATGGTGAAACCCCGTCTCTACTGAAAATACAAAAATTAGCCGGGCGTGGTGGCGGCGCCTGTAGTCCCAGCTACTCAGGAGGCTGAGGCAGGAGAATGGCGTGAACCTGGGAGGCAGAGCTTGCAGTGAGCAGAGATGGCGCCACTGCACTCCAGCCTGGGCGACAGAGCAAGACTCAGTCTCAAAAACAAAAAAACAAAAAACAACAACAAAAAAACAAAAAAACCCATAATAGTAGTGATAAGGCCGGTGCGGTGGCTCATGCCTGTAATCCCAGCACTTTGGGAGGCCAAGGCGGGCGGATCACGAGGTCAGGAGTTTGAGACCAGCCTGGCCAACACGGTGAAACCCCGTCTCTACTAAAAATACAAAAATTAGCTGGACGTGGTGGCGGGCGCCTGTAATCTTCTCAGACACCCAACCACCGGCTCCTCAGCCGGGGCAACTCCCTGTAAGATGACGGCACCTTTTCACGGCCCCCCACCCTGCCCCAAATCCCCGATCCAGCTCCAAATCCCCGATCCAAACCCCAACCCGCGATCCCAAATCTGCGATCTAGCCCAGAATCCGCGATCCAGCCGGGTCCACCACAGCCTTCAGCAGCGACACTCCCAGCCTCCGACCTCTCAGACCCAGTGAGCCTCGCAAGGCCATTAGCAGCGCGCCTGCACCGCGGGGGCCGCCGGGCTCCCAGAAGCCGCTCCCAGGCGGCGCGCCGGCAGGTGGGGCTGCAGCCCGGGGCAGGCGCCGCTGGGCTCGCGGGTTCTCCTGCGCTGGTCCGGGCTGCCCCAGGACCACAGGCGCAGGATCGCAGGCGCGCAGCCCGCCCGGCCTCAGGAGCAGGGCCTGTCTGGCCGTGCGGCCCCACTTAATCTTAATAGCAAATAAAACTCAGCAGTATGCTGTGGTATATTCTATAATGATTCTACACAATTGTAGATTGCATTAGAATAATGTTTTTTAAAATTATTTTCTTGGTAACAAATGGACACTTGAAATTTTATTTTAATTTTAATTTTTTTTTAAACAGAGTTTCACTCTTGTTGCCCAGGCTGGAGTGCAATGGCGCGATCTCGGCTCACTGCAACCTCTGCCTCCCAGGTACAAGTGATTCTCCTGTCTCAGCCTCCCGAGTAGCTCGGATTACAGGCACGGGCCACCACACCCGGCTTTTTTTTTTTTTTTTTTTTTTGGTATTTAGTAGAGACGGGGTTTCATCATGTTAGGCTGGTCGCAAACTCCTGACCTCAGGTGATCCACCTGCCTTGGCCTCCCAAAATGCTGGGATTACAGGAGTAAGCCACTGCGCCTGGGCAAAATTTTATTTTTTAATAATGCCAAGTGATTTCATTTTAAATTAAACCGCAGCATAAATTGGATTATTTTCCTGCATGAGTACCTTGCTCTTCAAACAAAAACATTTTTTAAAGACCAAATATATTGCATACTTTTTTTTAAAAAAGCTCTGGCTGTGTGCATTGGCTTACGCCTGTAATCCCAACACTTTGGGGAGGCTGAGGGAGGAGGACTGTTTGAACCAGGAGTTTGAGACCGGCCTGGGCAACACAGTGAGACACTGGCTCTACAATAATCTTTCTTTAAAAGTTAGCCAGGTATGGTGGTGCACAGCCATGGTCCCAGACACTTGGGAGGTTGAGGTGGGAGGATAGCTTGAGCCTGGGAGGTTGAGGCTGCAGTGAGCTATGATTGCACTCCAGCCTGGGTGACAGAGCAAGAACCTGTCTCAAAAACATGTTCTTTTTTTTTTAAAAATTTATTTATTTATTTTTTATTATTATTATACTTTAAGTTTTAGGGTACATGTGCACAATGTGCCAGTTAGTTACATATGTATACATGTGCCATGCTGATGTGCTGCACCCATTAACTCATCATTTAGCATTAGGTATATCTCCTAATGCTATCCTTCCCCTCTCCCCCCAAAACACCCCCCAAAACATGTTCTTACTGTATAAGAAATTATGAATGACATTTATTTTATGTTAAAACAGTATATTTTATCTACAAAAGGAGTAAAAGACAGTAATACAAAAAATTGGCACATAAAGGAACAAAAATGCTAAAAAATTAAAATTTACCAATAATCCTATCACCTAAATTGATAATTTTTAATATAATTAAATGTAGGATTTTAAAATAAATTTCTTTTAATTTATTTATTTAAACATATAGATTATTTTTAGACCCTCTTCAGGCATCCCCTGTTGAATAAGTTCCATGATTTACAGGCCTACTCTCTCTATTATTAAATATTTTATTGCTTTCAATGAACAACATTTTTTGTAAACATTTTCACAGAAACAAATATGGGCACATTGAGACATGTTTTCTTTTCAAAAAGTCCTAGCACTTTAATTACTGTGTAAAGAGATATTAGTGTACAATTTTCACACATATTGACTAACGTCCCTGCAAAATGTTGAATCAATTTATACTTGCAGCACCAATCGGCAAATTAATGTCCATTATGCTTTCGCTTCACCAAAACTGATACTTATATTTTATTTTGCTAGACAAAAATACATATTATCTTAATTTGCATAACTGTAATTAATAGAAAGATTAAATTTTTTTTCAGATGTATCATAGGACATCATTTTTTCTTGAGTCTGGTGGGTGCTTAGTTCCTTTAAAGCATTAATCTTGTATACATTAATTTTATGTGCAAAACAATCATTAAGTACAATTTGAAATATGGAAAAATAAATAGCTGGATTAAGAAAAAAACAAATAGAGCTTCTGGAATTAAAACATTCACTAATGGAATTTCAAAACACAGTTGGAATCTTTAACAATAAACTAGACCAAGCAGAAGAAATAATTTTAGACTTTGAAACTGGTCTTTCAAAGTAACCCAGTCAGACAAAAATAAAAGAAAAAAGAACTGAAAAACAAAGCCCTTAAGAAATATGGGATTATGTAAAGTGACCAAACTTATAACTTATTGGCATTCCTACAACAGAAGAATAAAAAGTAACCAACTAAGAAAGTATATTTAAGGGAATAATTTAGGAAAAGTTCTCTAGTCTTGCTAGAAAGGTTGACATTCAGATATAAGAAATTCAGAGAACACCTGTGGGATAGTAAACAAGATGCCCATTCCTAAGGCATCCACAGTCATTAGAATAGCTGTGGTCAATGCAAAAGAAAATATATTAAAGGCAGCTCAAACAAAGGGCCAAATTACCTATAAAGTAAATTAGATTAACAACAGACTTAGCAGCAGATACCCTGCAACCTAGAAAAGATTGGGGCCTAGCGTTAGCCTTCTCAAAGAAAAAAAAAAATGCCATCCAATAATTTCTTTTTTTTGGAGACAGAGTCTCACTTTGCCACCCAGGCTGGAGTGCCGTGGTGTGATCTCAGCTCACTGCAACCTCTGCTTCCTGGGTTCAAGCAATTCTCCTGCCTCAGCCTCCCCAGTAGCTGGGATTACAGGTGCCCGCCACCACACCTGGCAAATTTTGGTATTTTTAATAGAGATGGAGTTTCTTCATGTTGGCCAGGCTGGTCTTGAACTCCTGACCTCAGCTGATCTGCCTGCCTCGGCCTCCCAAAGTGCTAGGATTACAGGCGTGAGCCATTGCGCCCAGCCATGCAAGAATTTCATAACCTGCCAGACTGAGCTTCATAAAGAAAGGAAAATAAGGTATTTCCAGACAGGAAAATGCTAAGGGAAGTCATTACCTCCAGACTGACTCTAAAATAAATGTTTAAAGGAGTTTGACTCGTGAAAATAAAAGAATGATACTTGCTATGATAAAAGCATACATGAATACAAAATGTACAGAACCTACAAAGCAATTAAACAATTGAGACTACAAGGTAACTAGCTAATGCTATAAAAGGAAGAAAACCTAACACATCAATATTAAGCTGGAATGTAAATGGCTGAAATGCTCCACTTAAAAGACACAGAGTGGCAAACTGGATAAAAAAACAAGACACTTCTGCTGCCTTTGAGAGACCCATCTCATGTGTAATGATCCCAACAGGCTCAAAGTAAATGGATGGAAAAAGATTCATCACATAAATGAAAAACAAAAAAGGAGAGGTATTGCTATTCTTGTATCAGATAAAACAGACATTAAACCAACAACAGTAAAAAAAAATACAAAGAAGGGCATTATATAATGATAAAGTGTTCAATTCAACAAGAAGACTTAACTGTCTTAAATATATATGCAGCCAACATTGGAGCACCCAGATTTTTAGAATAAATATTACTAGACCTAAGAAAAGAGATACACAGCTGTACAATAATTGTGGAGGACTTCAACACCCCACCGACAGCAGTAAGCAGATTATTAGTTAGGCAGATTATTAGGCAAAAAACTAACATTGAAACTGTGGACTCAAATTGGGCTCTTGACCAAACAGACCTAATAGATATCTACAGAATACTCCACCCAGAAACCATAGAATGTACATTTTTCTCATTTGCACATGGAACATTCTCTAAAATTGACCACATGCTCAGTCATAAAATAAGCCTCAATAAATTTTTAAAAATCGCAACTATATTAAGTATCTTCTCAGACCACTGTGGAATAAAATTAGAAGTCAATATGGAGAACTCTCAGAACCACAGAGGTACATGGAAACTAAACAATCTGCTCATGAATGACTTTTGTGTAAATAACAGAATTAAGGCAGAAATTTAAAGAAATTCCTGAAACAAATGAAAATAGAAACATAACATACCAAAACGTCTGGGATACAGAAAAAACAATGTTAAAAGGAGAGTTTATAACACTAAATGCCTACATAAAAAGAAAGAAAGGTCTCAAATTAACAAGCTAAAATAGACAAACACACTAGAAAAGAACAAACCAAACCCAAAGGTAGTAGAAGGAAATAACAAAGGTTAGAGAATAAGTTAATGAAATCGGGACCAAAAAAACCATACAAGGAATCAGCAAAATTAAAAAGTTGGTTCTTTGCAAGGACACATAAAAATGATAGATTGCTAGTTAGATTATGCAAGAAAAAAAGAAGATTCAAATAAGCACAATAAAAAATGACAAATGAGACATTGCAAAGGATACCACCGACATAAAAAAAGATCCTCAGAGACTGCTATGAATATCTTTGTGTGCATAAACTAGAAAACCTAGAGAAAATGGGTAAATTCCTGGAAACACACAACCTTCCAAGACTGAATCAGAAAGAAACCAAAAGTCCACCAGGGCAGTGCCAACAGGAAATGTGGGATTGAAGCCTCCACACAGAGTCCCCACTGGGGCACTGCTTACTGGAGCTGTGGGAATGGGGCC
The DNA here is from genome assembly GCF_000001405.40 of Homo sapiens. NCBI lineage: Eukaryota > Metazoa > Chordata > Mammalia > Primates > Hominidae > Homo > Homo sapiens. The sequence goes on from NC_000005.10 coordinate 181,278,123, forward strand.
ACCACCTCGAGATCCCTGAATGGTAGAGCCACGGGAAGCTTTCATCCTGAGCCTAGAAATACCACAGGCACTCAACTCTGACCCAAGACAGCAGCCATGGTGACTGTACACTGCAAAGCCACAGAGGCAGAGCTGCATAAGGTCTTGGGAACCCACCCTTGCACAAGTGTGCCCTGGATGCGGGACATGAAATCAAGAATTATTTTGGAGCTTGAAGGTTTAATGTATGCCTTACTGGGTTTCAGATTTGCCTGAGGCCTGTTGCCCCTTTCTTTTGCCCAACTTCTCCATTTGGGAATGGGAGTATTTACCCAACACCTGTACTGCATTGAATATTGGAAGCAAATAACTTGGTTTTGATCTTATAGGCTCATAGGTGGAGGAACGTACCTAGAAGCTCAGATGATATTTCGGATTTTTGAGTTGATGCTGAAACAGCTTGAGATTTTTGGGGACTACTGGGAGAGGATAATTGTATTGTGCAATATGAGAAAGACATGAGGTTTGGGGGCCATAGGGGTGAAATGACATTGTTTAGATGTGTTTACCCTCAAAATCTCTTGTTGAATGTGATCTCAAATGTTGGTGGTGGGCCTAGTGGAAGGTGTTGAATCATGGGGGTGGACCCTTCATAAATTGCTTAGCTCCATCCCCTTGGCGATGAGCGAGTCCCTGCTCTGTTGTGTCACACGAGACCTGGTTGCTTAAAACAGCCTGCCATGTTCCCCTTCTTGCTCTTGATTTCTCTCTCGACACGTGATACACTGGCCCTCCCTTTGCCTTCCTCTGTGATTGGATGCTTTCTGAGGTCTCACCCAAACCTGAGCAGGTGCTAGTCCCATGCTTCTACTGCCTGCACAACTATAAACCAAATAAATATTTTTTCTCTATAAATTTAAAAAAATCTGGACAGACCAGTAGTTAATTATGAAATTGAATTTGTAATAAAAATATTTATCAAGCAGGAGAAGCCCAGGACTAGATGAATTCACAGCTGAATTTTACCAAACATACAAAAAAATAGATGGTATCAATGTTACTGCAACCATTCTAAAACATTGAGGAGAAGGAATTCCTCTCTAACTGATTCTACAAAACCAGTATCATCCTGACACTAAAATCTAGCAAGAAAACAACAACAACAAACTACAGGCCAATATCTGATGAACATAGATGCAAATATCCTCAACAAAATGCTAGTAAACCAAATCCATCAGCATATCAAAAATGTAGTTCATCGTGATTACATAGGTTTTATTCCTGGGATCCAAGGACTATTTAATATATGCAAATCAATAAATGTGATTTACCACATAAACAGAATTTAAAACAAAAATCATATGATTATCTCAATAAATGTAGAAAAAACATTCAATAAAATTCAACATCCTTGCCAGGTGCGGTGGCTCACACCTGTAATCTCAGCACTTTGGAAGGCAGAGGTGGGCCAATCAACGGAGTTCAGGACCAGCCTGACCAACATGGAGAAACCCCATTTAGAACTAAAAACGCAAAATTAGCTGGGCGTTGTGGCGCATGCCTGTAATCCCAGCTACTCAGGAGGCTGAGGCAAAAGAATGGCTTGAACCCGGGAGGTGGAGTTTGCAGTGAGCCGAGATCACACCACTGCACTCCAGCCTGGGCAACAGAGCGAGACTCCATCTCAAAAAACCAAACCAAACCAAAACAAAACAAAAAAACCTGAAATCATATCAATTATTTTTTCTGACCAGAGGGGAAGAGTATCAAAAAATCAGTAACAGGAGGAATTTTTTTCCCGACCGTCTTTGGCTCCCTCTCTCGCCACCCTTTTTCTTCCTCCATCTACCCCAAAACTTTTTCCCCACCATTTTTTCCCCACTGTCTTTTTGCAAAGCCTTCTATACTCTCCCGCTCACTACCGTTTCCCCACCCATCTACCCCAAAACTTTTCCCCACTGTCTTTTCTCCCTCTCCCTGGCCACCCTTTTTTCTACCTCCCACTCTCATTACCCTCTTTTGCTCCTCCATCTCCCCAAAAACATTTCCCCCAACTTTTCCCAAAGCCTTCTCCCCACTCCTGCTGCTCGCCACCCTCTTTCCCCTTTCATCTACCCAAAAACTGTTTCCCTATCATCTTTTTCTCCCTTCCTCCTTGCCACCCTCCTTCCCTTCTCCATCTACCCAAAAACATTTCCCCGCCGTCTTTTTACAAAGCCTCTTCTCTACTCCTGCTCACCACGCTCTTTTACCCATCTACCTCCCCAATTTTTCTCTGCCATCTTTTCACAAAGCCTTCCCCGCTTCCCGCCTGCCCTCTTCTTTCCTCTATCCTGCTTGCCACCCTGTTTTTGCCCTCCATCTACCCCAAACTATTTTCCCCATAGCCTTTTTCCCATTCCTCTTTCCCCACTCCCTCTGGCCACCCTCTCTATTCTCCTCCCACTTGCCACCCTCTTTTCCCCCTCCATCTACCTAAAAGCTTCTCTCCTCACTGTCTTTTTGCAAAACCTTCTCTCCCTCTTGCTCACCACACTCTCTTCCCCCTCCCTCTTCTGCACGCTCTTTTCTCCTCCCACTTGTCACCCTTTTCCCCCCTCCATCTACTCAAAATCTTTTTACCTACAGTCTTCTTTCCCTTTCTTTTCTCCCCACCGTATTTTTGCAAACCTTCTCTCCTTCCTGCTCATCCCCGTTCCCCCCTCACGACCCTCTCTTTCCCCCTTCCATCTACCCAAAAACTTTTTCCCCACCGTCTTTCTATGAAACCTTCTCTCCCTCCTGTTCACCACCCTGTTTTCCCCCTCCATCTACCCCTCAATTTTTTTTCCCCAACATCTTTTTCTCACCGTCTTTATGCAATGTCTTCTCTGGCTCGCCATCCTTTTTTCCTTTTGGCACTAACCACCCTCTTTACCCCTCCATCTATCCCAAAACTATTTTCCCCTTCCTACCACTCCAGCTACACTACAGTTTCTGTCGCCACCAACTGCAGGGAGGCCAGCCGCGGTGCGCAAACTACAGCCTCCAGTCTGTCCTGGTCCTCTAATCCGGGCTCGGAGCAGCACCGGGAGCAGACACAGAAAAACCTGGAAGAGCCTCTCTTCTTCAGCACCAATTATATACTGAGGTTATTCATATGCGGTTCCTGGACTACATGTTCCAGGACTGGACAACCAATCAGAGTATGAAAATAAAGTCCAATCAGAGAAGGCCTAGAGGTTTTCTCTCACCCAATCAGAACATGCAGTCCAGAAACCATGCGCATAACCCAATGTGCATGCTGAGGAGGCCTCACGCCAGTTTAGGCTCTCCAGTATCTCCCACTGAGCTACTCTGTCCCCGACTTAGAGGACCAGGAGAAGGGGGAGCTGGAGGCTGGAGCCTGCCACACCGTGGCTCGTCTCACTCTGGATGGTGGTGGCAACAGAGATGGCAGTGTGGCTGGAGTTTTAGGAGGGCGGCCTGAGCCGTAGGAGGGGGCTGGAGCAGTAACATGGCGGCCTGAGCGGTAGGCGGGAGCTGGAGCAGTAAGAGGGCGGCCTGAGCGGTAGGAGGGGGGCTGGAGCAGTAAGAGGGCGGCCGGGGCGGTAGGCGGGGGCTGGAGCAGTAAGAGGGCGGCCTGAGCGGTAGGCGGGGGCTGGAGCACTAAGAGGGCGGCCGGGGCGGTAGGAGGGGGCTGGAGCAGTAAGAGGGCGGCCTGAGCGGTAGGCGGGGGCTGGAGCAGTAAGAGGGCGGCCTGAGCGGTAGGAGGGGGGCTGGAGCAGTAAGAGGGCGGCCTGAGCCGTAGGAGGGTGGGTGGCAGCTGGAGATGCTCTTGACCGGCTAGAGGTCTAGGAGAAGGTGGGGACCGTGTCCAACACTCGTGGCTGGAGCCTTGGCCACCGCGGTTCTCCTGGCTGTGGTTGGTGGTGGCGACGGAGACTGCATCTCTGTTAGACTGGTAGAAAGGTGGCAGGGTAGGTGCGCTCTCTGCGGCTGCACTGCCCGCTTGCGGGGTGGTAGGGGAGCGGGTGTGGCGTGCTTTTGGGGCTGCACTGCCTGCCGCGGGGGGCTGGTGGGTGGCGCTATCAGGCGTTGAATTGCTGGCAGTGGGGCAGGTTCGCTGCACTATCAGGCTCTACACTGCCTAAGGGGGCGGGGGGTTGGAGGCAGGTTGTGGGTTGTGTGCACTGTCGTGCACTGCCAGTGGCGGGTGGCAGGGGGTTAGGAGCATTATTAGCTGCTGCACTGGCTGATGCAGGGGGCGGGTTGGGTGAGCTATCGTGGGCTACAATGTCAGCAACAATGCCAACTGGCAGGCAGTCGGGGGTGCTTTAGGGGAGCTGTCAAATGCTGCATTGTCCGTGGGGGAAAGGGGAAGGTGGGGTGGGGGGTTGGTTGGGTGCACTGCCCTGGGCGTTCACTGCCCGAGACGGGAGCAGATTGGGGGCGCTATCTGGGGCTGTGCTGCTTGTGGTTCGGGTGGGGGGCGGGTTTGGTGGGGTGTTATTTGGTGCTGCAACACCCGTGGCGGGGATGGGTTGTGGACACTATCGAGTGTTACACTGCCAGGAGCAGAGGGGTGGTTTGGGGGCGCTATCAGGGTTACACTGCCTGCAGCAGTCTCTGGGTGTGTTGTGGGCACAATCCGGGGGCTACGCTTGTCGGTGGGGGGGCAGGTTGGGGCGCTATGGGGGGAGGCTGCACTGCTGCTGCCAGCGGCAGGTTGTGGAGGTGGCCACGACAGTGGTGGCCTCTGAGGAAGGGGCCCTTCTCCTCTTCCCGGACTCAAGGCTCTAGAGGGTGAACAACTTCTGCTCGTGTTGGAGCGTGGAGGGTGTACAGAGTTTTCACGGCAATCCTCTGACCACCCCAGGGCCCTCACACCCACCATGGTTCCCCGGCCCTTGCCCTCTTGCTGCGTGGTGTGGAGACCATCTGGGGGCCCCAGGCGTGGAGTAGTGGGCACCACGGGGGCTCAGGGTCCTGTGGGTGGAGGAGTGAGGAATGGGAACTGGTACTTGGGTGGAGAGGACTGGCTGGGTCTGAGTTTCTGCTATTCTTGCTCCCCAGTGAGCCCTGGGCACTGTGGTGTCTCCAGTCCCCACCCCAGGTCAGGAGGCCAGCTTGGTCTAGGAGGAGAGGCTGGACTTTGGAGGGTAGGTGTGAGTGCCTTTGCTGAAACTGGTCCCTGCCACCCAGTGGCCAGCATGACAAGGTGAGGCTCCAACACTGCCACTTTCTGCATCCTGTTGTAGGTTTTTCTGGCATTGTCTGCCCAGCTGCTCCAAGCCAGGCTGATGAAGGAGGAGTCCCCTGTGGTGAGCTGGAGGTTGTAGCCTGAAGATGGCACAGCTCTGTGATTCATCTCCTGCGGTTGTGGCGGCCACGGTGATGGAGACTGCAGCTCAACAGGAGTGGTAGGAGGGTACCCGTGGAGGCCAAGTAGTAGGAGCCTTGGAGGGTGGGTAGGTGCATGGAGGGTGACAGCAGCGCTGGTTCCGTTGGCGTCGGCGCTAATGGTGGCAGCAGCAGCAAGTCTAGGGGCCAGGAAGGGGGAGTAGGAGAGCTCTGGGGCCCGGCCCGGCCTGGGGTGGGTAAGAAGCTGCCGGTTCTGTACCGCAGGCCTCAGTGACAGTGGTGGACCAGGGCAAGGAGGAGTCCTCCCCCTTCTCCTGCGGTCTCTGGAGGGTGCCCTCCTTCTGCTGGCGTCTGAGCCAGGTGTGAGTGGCAGCATTGTTTCATTCTTAACAGAATTTAGGGGCTTACTATTTGTGTATCTTTTTGTTTTTGGTTGTGGTAACCCTTAAGGGACAAAAGGCTTCTTTGGCTGGGTTTTGGTGTGGTGGGATCCCTCCATGTAAGACAAAGGGTGCTTCCCTGGCAAGCTGTGTGTTAGAGGGAGTTCACGAAGGGGAAGAAAGGGAACCTCCCAGGAGGGTGGCTGCTGTGGCAGGTCCCCTGCCTCTGGGCACCCTTTGGGCCACCTAGTTTCCCCTGTGGAAGAGGGGAGGCTTAGACCGGTACCACCTGTATCATCAAAGAGGCATCCTGGCTGGGCCAGTCGATTTGACCTTCCCACTTCTTCAGCCCACCTGCCTGTGGTGTCACCTGGGGGAAGTGGATCCTCACACCACAGGGGCAGAGGCTTCTCTGGCAGGCTGATTGCTGTAGTGGATTCTGTTCTGCCTGCTGCTCAGGAGGGTTTCTGTGGCCAGGAACTGATGCTGGGACTCTCCTGTTGGTGTTTTGCTGCCTCTGTGTTGTCTCCGGCTTCTCAGGGACTCTCAGATGTGTGAAGGCAAAAAGGTTTCCTGGCTAGTTTGCGTGGTGTGGTTGGGATCACTTTTGCTACATGCCCCTCAGGCACCCTAGTGGGGGAAAAGGGAATTTTAGATTTAATGGAGAATGTGTCTATGTTGGCTGCTTATTGTTAGCAAACTTCTGAACAATTCTATTCTAAATGGTCGCCTCTTGTTGAGTAGACTCCAGCTCCATTGGAGAAGAGATGATCTTACCTGGGCTGTGTTTTCTTGCTAGCTTGAGGGTTGAAAACACTAGGTTTTTGTCTCCTTTTCCAGTTGAGTTAGGGAAGTGACATGCATTGCCACAAAACAATTCCTTCAGTTCTGGAGTCCTTAGACAGACTGTCATCTTACTAGCACCTTCCAGCATTCTCCTTTCAGTGAGATAAGGGAAGGTTCCTAATCTAAAAGGAAACATGGAATGGTGTTCTTATATTGTATGACAAGAAATATGAAATATTTCTGAAAAATTTAGTCATTCTTCTTTTAAATTTAGAAACCTGTTTTTTATATTTATAATATTTCAAGCCATTAAAAATTAGGATGTCATAATTGAAATAATCTTTTAACATTTTACATTAATTAGCATTTAGCAGATGACCATAACAAATTATTTTTAATTATGTTACATTAATTGCCAATACAGATTTCTTTCTGGTTATTACAAATCTGTTTGCAAAATTTTATTTTGTCATTTATTAAATTTTTGTATAATTAGTTGCTACATTGCAGGTATAGGAACTTCCAATATTAAGCATGATTACAAATACCTCAGTTTTCGTGTCTTTTTATTAATAGTCTAAAACTTATAAAATGCTTTGTGCATTTTATAAGTTATTGGTATAAGTTATAATGTTATTTTATAAGTTATTGGTATAAGTTATAATGTTATTGGTAACATTCTTTAGTATGAATTATCATTTGAAAAATGTTAAGAACATAGCTTTCCCATCTTATTTATTTTCTTGAGGTGGAGTCTCACTCTGTCGCCCAGGCTGGAGTGCAGTGGCGCGACCTTGGCTTACTGCAACCTCTGCCTCCTGGGTTCAAACTATTTCTCCTGCCTCAGCCTCCTGAGTAGCTGGGATTACAGGCACGGTCCACCACGACCGGCTAATTTTTGTGTCTTTAGTAGAGATGAGGTTTCACCATATTGGTCATGCTGGTCTCGAACTACTTACCTCAGGTGATCCACCTGCCTCGGCCTCCCAAAGTGTTGGGGTTACAGGTGTGAGCCACCACGCCAAGCCTATTTATTTTAGATACAGTGTCTTCCTCTGTTGACCAGGTTGAAGTGCAGGGGTGTAGTCATAGCTCACTGCAGGCTCAGACAGTCCTTCTGCCATGGCTTTCCAAAGTGCTGGGATTACAGGCATAGGCCACTGCACCTGGCCTAAATTGTGATAATTTTACAGTTTGCCTCAAACGAGGGTTGATGTCTGGGCAAGGTCTGCTGGGGGCCTCCCATATGCAGGCAGTCTCTCTGCTGTGCCCTCCACCAGCACTGAGGGTCACCTGCCCACAGGCACCCCTCTCCTTTCCCCTCTGGGGAAGGCCAGAAGTGACTTTTGAGGTTACCTGAGGGTCTTTGTCTGGAAAAGGGTGTGAAGCTGAAGCCGATGGCCTCAGTGTCCAAAGGGGAACACTTCCCACAGGCGTTGGGAAGCCACAGGCCTGACAGTGGGGTCCTGGTCTTGGCGGTCTCAGTCACCTGGCCACCCATTCCTTCCTCACTTAGGCATCCACCTGGCGGGCTGCCCACACCCTCTTCTGTCTGTGCTCAGCCAATCAGGCAAGCCAGGGTTACAGCCCTCCCTGTCCTGGGCCCTGGCTCCATGAAGCACCATGTGCCTTGGAAGACCTCCCCGATTGATCCTGTCTCCCCAGTATCTTCTGCTAAGGCAGAGGTTTCCCTGGGCCCCTGCTCTGGTCCGCTTCCTTGGCACAGTTTGTAGCTGTGCCTGACACAGCCCACCTGCCTGGCTTCTGTCTCAAACCCACAGCCAGGCCATGTGACAGCCGCTGCCTGTGCCCAAACATTCATCCAGCCCCACCCAGGAGAGCCAGACAGGCACTCATACCCTCACCCACACACCCCCACCCACACACCCCCACCCGCACACCCTCACCTGCACAATGTCACCCACACACCCTAACCCGCCTGGCCCTGCTGCGCCCCCACCCCACTCTCCCTCTAAACCTACTGGGGGAGCAGCTTCCCCTATATTTGCTTGCTCCACCTCCTCCTAGAGCTGGGTCACATACCAATTCCCACACTCTTGGCAGGTTGGTCATGGCCCTGGCAGGTCTGAGGACAGGATGGACACAGGACTGTGTGTAGCATAGAAAGGTCAGGGAGTGCAGCCTCCTACTCTGTGCCAGCTGCCAGCCCCGGAGCTTACTAGGCTGATGGGGACAAAGAATGCACCAGAGGGGACAGTGACCATTGTCCCTGGGTTAGTCCACCACAGGACTGATGGGAAGTTCATGGATGTACTGATTGCCCTGTTGCATTTGTCCTCAGGGGCGGATGCTGAGATGGAGTTAGGAGAGCAAAGGGGAGGAAGGGAGCTGGGCATGGTGGCTCATGCCTGTAAATCCTAGCACTTGGGGAGGCCCAGGTGGGAGGATTTCTTGAGGCCAGGAGTTTGAGACCAGCCTGGGCAACATAGCAAGACCCTGTCTCTACCAAAAAAAATTAAAAATTAGCCAGGTGTGGTGGCTGTATTCCCAGCTACTTGGGAGGCTGAGGTGGGCGGAACAGTTGAGCCTAGGAGTTGTCAATAGAAATCAAGTGTTGGGATATTGAGAATAGCAGCATAATGAGGGTCCAGAGTATGTTCTTAATACTAATGGTATAATTTCGAGCTTCTGATATATACACAAACATGTATAGCTACACCAGGGATTGTGCTCAAGATTTGACTTACATTAGCTTGTTTAAGCCTCTTCCACACACTATTTGAGGCAGGTACTGTTGTTATCATTTTATGGATGACAAAACTTAGAAGCAGAGCATTTAGGAAACTTGCCCAAGATCACACAGCCATGAAGCAGACACCAGAACCAGAGCCCTAGGCTCGCAAACTTCACTGCCTTCACTCCTAGGCTGTATGTTATTCTGACCATCTCTCAGCCAGGAAGTCACTCCCTTATGCAAATGACATTGTCTGTGCTGATGGTTAAATATTTCTATTCTCACAACATGTGAAAGAGAGAGCCTGATTTGTTAGCTAAGCCCCAAGGGTTTCTCCTACCATTTCAGAGAGAGAGAAACTTTTCTTTGCCCCTAAACTGTGGCAAAGAAAACAGAGAGGAGGAAACAGCCATCAGAAGACTAAAAATCTCTCATCTCTGCAAATAAGAATTCACTCTAACTGAGCTTTTCTGCATGCAGCACTGGGAAGAGACCTTGTTTTTTATTCTATCAACTTACCCATTTAACAATTTATTGAGAACCTGTTGTGTACCTGATGCACTGCTGGCATTGGGTATGTAAAAATCAATGCAGCATGGTCCTTTCCCCAAGCAACTCAGTTTCCTGCTTGGTTCTCTTTTCTGGATCATTTTAATTATGGTTCACCTTTTAAGTAAAGGACAAACAGAGAAGTAGCACTGAGTCAGATTTTTGCCACTAGTCTTATACAGGTGACATATTTTTCTTAATGCTCCCCACACATGGGATCTGAGCCAGCTGAGCCCTGAAACCTCCCAGGCTGAGAACGTAGTGTGGCACTTCACATGAGACTGCGCAGAAGTTGATACAACTGGCATGTTAGCCACAGGAACTCTGCCAAGCGTTCGGGAATAGAAGGGGTGGACAGGACCCCACCTGCTTTTCCTAATCTCATGGGTATCAGGCACCAGGCAGCCTTGCCCCTGGAATGAGACATCTCAGGTAGGGGTTGTCACTGTTCCAAGCTTCCTTTGATGCCGTTTTGATCCTGGATGTAGAGTTGCCACGTGGAGAGCGAAACCACCAGAATATATAATTGAGAAAGGAATGGAAAGATGGACAGATACCTAAATAGATACATAAATACTTTGCAGAAGTCTGGGACAGTGGAACGTAGGAAGAGAGCCTCAGATAGAGAGAGAACAGTAGGTTGATTGTGGTAAAGGGAAGGCTTCACTTTGTTATTCAATATAGTTATTTATTGACTTGTTTAAACAATATGTATGTCTTTAAAATTAAAAGATAATTTGGGGCCGGGCATGGTGGCTCACACCTGTAATCCCAGCACTTGGGGAGGCTGAGGTGGGGTGGATCACGAGGTCAGAAGTTTGAGATCAGCCTGGCCAGTATGGTGAAACCCCATCTCTACTAAAAATACAAAAAGTTAGCTGGGCCTGGTGGCAGGCACCTGTAATCCCGGCTACTCAGGAGGCTGAGGCAGGAGAATCACTTGAACCTGGGAGGCGCAGGTTGTAGTGTGGTGAGATCACGCCACTGCACTCCAGCCTGGGCGACAGGAGCGAAACTCTGTCTCAAAAAACAAAACAAAACAAAACCTTGCATCCTTTCAGGGGGCTCACACCTCCCTAAGGGCCCAGTAATTAAACCCTTTGGGCCTGAGGGTGAGAAACTTTGTCTCAGTTCTTCCCCAAGTGATCAGCCCAGGTGTAAGGAAGGAGAAGCCAGAAAGCAGGACCCATGAGAAGGGCCCCCTCCTGGAGTTTGAGGCCCACTCCCTCCTGCCCCTGCCTCTCCTCTGTCCAGGACTCCTCCCTGCTCTGCCCCACTCCTGGGGCCATAACCATGGGGAGCTGTGGTTTTCTACAGGCCCCTGGGCACAAAGTGGGCAGGCTCACCTGGAGGCGATCAGAGTAACATGGCAGGAAGTGAGGGGGAAAGCCGCCCTGGAACTGCGCCTCTCTGCCCCCTGACGTCACTGGCGTGCACTCCTCCCTCCCCTCATTCAGGCAGTGGCATGAGTTCCATGTGAGCGCTGTCCTGCTCCCTCTGCTGCCTCTTTTTTTTCTTGGGGCTGCCATAACACTTTCCCTTCCCCAGCCCTGCCAACCTGGTGGGACATTGGGCTTCCCTCTCACAGGGTCCTGGGGACAGGCCCATCCTTTATCATACGCACAGAGAGACCGTTTTTTCCTTCAGGACCTGGGGAGCAGCCAGGTTCCATGAGTTAAATGCAGATCTGAACCAAGCTGGGATTGGGGTACACACTCTCCTCTACTGAAAAGTAGCTAGGGATTCCAACTAGGTGAGAAGGAGAGTGGGGCAGAGCCAGACCAGACAAGGACTGATCACCTGGAAAAAGCCTGCCATCAAAGGTCTTGGCAAATGCTGGGTGCAGTGGCTCACTCCTGTAATACCAGCACTTTGCGGGGCTGAGACAGGTGGACTACTTGAGGCAAGGAGTTCGAGTCCAGCCTGGGCAACATGGCAAAACCACATCTCTACTAGAAATACAAAAATTAGCTAGGCATGCTACACTCCTGTAATCCCAGCTACTCAGGAGACTGAGGCAGGAGAATCACTTGAACTGGGGAGGCAGAGGTCGAAGTGAGCCGAGATTGTGCCCCTGCACTCCAGTCTGGGAGACAGAGTGAAACTGGCCTCAAAAAAAAAAAAGAATATGGCCTTGGCAGAGAGGGGCCAGCCCAGCAGTGCCTTCCCTTGGGTTTCTCCTGGGTAGGCCTCTGCCATGAGGAGGTGCTTCCTTCTGCCTGTCCATGGCCCACAGCAATGGAATGTCTGCTTCTGGGGGTTGGGTGGGAGACTGCTGGCAGAACTGGAAACCTTCAGGTGGGGTTTTTTTGTTTTGTTTTGTTTTCGAGATGGAGCGTCGCTCTGTCACCCAGGCTGGAGTGCAGTGGTGGAATCTCAGTTCACTGCAACCTCCGCCCCCCTGGGTTCAAACAATTCTCCTGTCTCAGCCTCCTGAGTAGCTGAGATTACAGGCATGTGCCACCATGCCCGGCTAGTTTTTGTATTTTTTGTATAGATGGCATTTCACCATGTTGGCTGGGCTGGTCTCGAACTCCTGACCTCAAGTGATCCACCCACCTCGGCCTCCCAAAGTGCTGGGATTACAGGCATGAGCCACTGAGCCCAGCCCCTTCAGGGGGGTTTTGAGGCTTCACTACAATACTAGTTTCCTGTGGCTGCTGCAACAAATTACCACACACTTAGTGACTTAAAACAACCAAAATGTATTCCCTTACAAGTCTGAAGGCCAGAATTCTACAGTAAGTCCTTCTGAGTCAAGGTGGGAGCAGGGTTGGTGGCTTCTGAGGCTCTGCGGGAGAATCTGTTTCCTGGCCGTAGAGGTGGCCTGCACTCCTCAGCTTGTGCTGCCCGTCTTGAATGACTGGAGTTTCCTGCTTCTGTCACTACACCTCCCACCCTCTCCATCACCTGCTCTGCTCTTACAAGGATCCGAGTGAGTACATCAACCCCAAAAGCCAAAGACCCTTAACTTCATTATATCTGCAAAGCCCCTTTTGCCATATAAGGTCATGTTCACCAGTTCCCGGGATTAGGATATGGGCATCTGGGGGGCATCAGCCTGCTACAGCTAGGCTGCAAAACTGTTACACCCTCCTGGTGTTTCAGTGATTGGGAGAAAAAGGGTTGGCATTTTTTGCTTAGAGGTCCCTCTTAAACTTGTATCTGTAAGGTCGGGGGTCCCTCTTAACCTTGTGTTTTTGTTTTTGTTTTTTTTTGAGGTGGAGTCTTGCTCTGTCATCCAGGCTGGCAGTGGCGTGATCTTGGCTCACTGCAATGTCTGCCTCCTGGGTTCAGGTGATTCTCCTGCCTCAGCCTCCTGAGTAGCTGGGACTACAGGCGCCCGCCACCATGCCCTGCTGTTTTGTATTTTTGGTAGGGACGGGGTGGGGGTGGGGCTAGGGAGGGGGCTTTTGGCTATGTTGCCCTGAGCTCAAAGTGATCCGCCTGCCTCTGCTGCCAAAGTGCTGGGATTACAGGCCTGCACCACTGCACCCGGCTGCTGTAAAGTCTTATTTCACACAGCTGAGACATGTTTTAGGAAGTTTGCTAAAAGACCCCTGGAGACCGCCTCATTGTGACCTCCCTGTTATTGTGTTTAATTTGATTGAACTTCTCTGCCCTCCTGCTTTTCAGCTTCTCTAATAGTCTCCCATTAAACCATTCTAAGAACCACCAAAAAGGGGAAATTTTTTCTTGAAAGCAGTAAAATGATATGGACTGTTAGAATGTAAAATATATGAAATCAGTCATTATACGTTAGTGCTGCTCTGACATAGGGACGTATTATTGAGAAGCAACTTTTGCTTGATTTTCAGAGAAATGGAATCATCGTATCGCTGATCTATGTAAACAAACTGAAGAATTGTCTGAAAGAAAATATGGTATGTCTAAACTGGAAAAGTCCTGTAATCTTATGTTCATGGGCGTTTACACAATGGAGTTACTGTTCATCATGGGGGTACCGTGGACAAGCCCAGGGCTGCCGGCGAGTCATGCCATCCTTACACGTTTCTCCTTGTAAGGTGCTTTGTAGTGTCTACACACTTTGTTTCTAGATTGCTGCAAAGCTGAGGAAAAGTTGTATTTCTTTAGTTATTAGTTAGCATTTCTTTTAAACTTTCAGTATGGAGATTGGAAATTTATTTACATATTTATTGCAAAGCCCTGAATCTTAGGGATTTCATTGAATTATTTATTTATTTTTTTTGAGACAGAGCCTCACTCTGTCGCCCAGGCTGGAGTGCAGTGGCACGATCTCGGCTCTCTGCAACCTCCGCCTCCCGGGTTCAAGCAGTTCTCTGCCTCAGCCTCCCGAGCAGCTAGGATTACAGGCACCAGCCACCATGCCTGGCTGATTTTTGTATTTTTAGTAGAGATGGGGTTTCATGATCTTGGCTAGGCTGGTCTTGAACTGCTGACCTCCTGATCCACTCACCTCAGCCTCCCAAAGTGCTGGGATTACAGGTGTGAGCCGCCATGCCTGGCCAAATATTATTTTTTTAAATGAATTGTTTCTCTTAGTCTGTTTTGTTAAATTTGGAATTCATCCGGGTGCGGTGGCTCACACCTGTAATCCCAGCACTTTGGGAGGCCAAGGCAGGCAGATATCTAGGTCGGGAGTTCGAGACCAGCCTGACCAACATGGAGAAACCCCGTCTCTACTAAAAATACAAAATTAGACGGGTGTGGTGGCGCATGTCTGTAATCCCAGCTATTCGGGAGGCCAAGGCAGGAGAATCGCTTGAACCCAGGAGGCAGAGGTTGCGGTGAGCCGAGGTTGCACCATTGCACTCTAGCCTGGGCAAAAAGAGCAAAACTCCATCTCAAAATAAATAAATAAATAAAATGTTCAGTACTCTCCAAGGTGCCCCTATTGTCTCTACTTTTATCTTGATGCATCACTGAATTGATGTTAGATTTCAAATTCATCATTGCCCTGCTACTATTCTATCCTGAAGCCACCTTTATATAGTGATGAAAGAAATTAGCGATTTGTTATTATCCTCTCTCTGTTGGTATACATCAAATACTCACCTAAAAAAGAGCAACAACCAGTGGAAAACGTGATGTTTTTATTTGGGTGACTATTTACTTGTAACCTACTAGCAAACTATAAAATTGTATGATATGCAGAATTTTAACTGAATTGCTTTAAGTGAACATTTAAACATGATAAACAATATTGATGGTATTTATGTTAATATACTTAAAATGAACATTTTTCTTCATCATGAGTAATATAACCTACTCCTCAATGAAAACCTAGCACTAAATTTGCTAATGAATTCAATAACATTTCCATAATATTTTTAGTTACATGCTTAAGGTTCTCTTAGTGTTTCTCCCACTTTTTAATAGCTTATGCCTTTTTCACCTTTGGTTTTTTTTTGGTTCATTTTAAAGCAAAAATCTCACAACATGTGATATCTGGAAACACTGTAACCTAGTGGTAAGACCATAGGCCCTGGGGACACAGGCTGGCCACGTCTCTTCTCCTGTCTGAGCTTTAGTATCCTCTTTTGTGGTCATGAGAACTGAAGATCTGTCCCGAAGATTTGATAAGATAGTAAAGTGCTTCACATAATACCAGACATATAAATACACAGTAAATGCTTCCTCCTTATATTTTTATTGATTGATTGATGGAGACAGAATCTTGCTCTCTTGCCCAGGCTGGAATGCAGTGGCGTGATAATGGTTTCTGCAACCTCCACCTCCTGGGTTCAGGCAATTCTCCTGCCTCAGCCTCCCGAGTAGCTGGGATTACAGGTGCCTGCCACCATGCCCAGCTAATTATTGTACTTTTAGTACAGACGGGGTTTTACCATGTTGGCCAGGCTGGTCTCGAACTCCTGACCTCATGATCTGCCTGCCTCGGCCTCCCAAACTGCTGGGATTACAGGTGTGAGCCACTGTGCCCAGCCTGTCTTTTCTCTTCACAACCGCAGTTCATGATGAAATATTAAATATGTACTAGTGGATATTACTTTGCTGAATATTGCCTAATGAATATTAAGTATTTATTCTCACCTTTCAGACATGAACTTATGAATTCAACAGGTGAAGATTTACAACTTGATAAATCAACTGTCAGGTACGTCTTCAGTCAAGTCAGATTAGAAGATTATGTGAGGTAATTAACACTTAACATTGATTTAATGGTAGCTTCCACATGAAATAGTATGCCTCTAAGTATTAATTATGTCCTAGGACAGAAGAATTCATGTTGTCAAAATTCTCATACTCTCTAGAACAATAAACTCATTTTCTTTTTATTAGTAAATATTGCATTTATGGGTAGACAAAACTGAAAGAACAATATTTGTTCTACTTTTGAGATGCAAGATTCATCTGGCATAATGCATTGAACAGGTTATTATTGAAGGCTACACCAGTCAACTGAATAAGCATTCATCAAATGTCCATGATATGCAGGACATAAGTTTTCTTTTAGAGTATGGAACCATGCATATTATCTTTTAATTAGATGATTTAGTTAGATATGTTTTTAAAGAACTAGAAATATAATTGATTTTCTTGTTTTGGCTCTGGAGTGGAGTGGGGACGAAACAGAATGGATTCACACTTGTTTAGATTTACTAAAATGGAAGGATTGCAGCAAGATCATATCCCTAGTCTCCCTATAGCAAATGTCACCTGCTAGCTGTTTTTTTTTTTTTTTTTTTTTTTTTTGGAGGTTGAAGTTTTGTTCTGTCACCCACGCTGGAGTGCAGTGGTATGATCTCAGCTCATGGCAAGCTCACCTCCTGGGTTCAAGCAATTCTCCCTGCCTCAGCCTCCTAAGTAGCTGGGATTACAGGCCTCTGCCACCACGCCTGCCTAATTTTTGTATTTGTAGTAGAGTTGGGGTTTCACCATGTTGGCCAGGCTGGCCTTGAACTCCTGACTTCAGGAGATTCACCCGCCTCAGCCTCCCAAAGTGCTTGGGATTATGGGTGTGTCACTGCACTTGGATTTAATGGGATATTTCACTACAGACTTCGGTAAACAGAATATTAGCATTTTTGGTGTTCTTTTTATTTTACTCATACTGTTTTTCTTTGGACTCAATCACAATAACAGAATTAAAGATCAAAGTGTAAAAGTTAAAGACCAGTACAGATTCAATAATTATTCTTTTCTACATACTGTGTTTAAATGATATCCCTTTTTCTTTTTGTTCTTACAGCTCGAGCTGTAAAAGCCAAAGGTCCGGTGATGATCCCATACCCTTTTTTCCAGTCTCATGTTGAAGATTTTTATGTAGAAGGCCTTCCCAAAGGAATTTTTTTTTTTTTTTTTTTTGAGATGGAGTTTTCACTCTTATCGCCCAGGCTGGGGTGCAATGGCGCAACCTTGCTGGTCACTGCAACCTCTGCCTCCTGGGTTCAAGAAATTCTCCTGCCTTAGCCTCCCAAGTCACTGGGATTACAGGTGCCCACCACCATACCAGGCTAATTTTTGTATTTTTAGTGGAGATGCGGTTTCACCATGTTGGCCGGGCCAGTCTCAAACTCCTGACGTCAAGTGATCTTCCCGCCTCGACTCCTGATATCAAGTGATCTTCCCGCCTCGGCCTCCCAGAGTGCTGAGATTACAGACGTGAACCCATGCCTGGCCAGGAATTTTGTTTTTTAGGAAGGCTTTCTACTAATGGAATTCCTGGCCTTGAGAGGATGTTACTTTAGAAGGAAAGGATTTTTTTGTTATTAAAAGGTAAGATTCCTGGATTCTTATTGGACTGTTACCTCTGTTATGAGTAATCCAGCTTTAGTCATTCACCACTAGGGTTGTATTTAATTAAGTCTGAGTTATTTTATGGTAGTTTTGTTTTGTTTTGTTTTGTTTTTACCGAATTTTGTTCTCATTGCCGTGGCTTGAGGGCAATGACGTGATCTCAGGTCACCACATTCTCTGCCTTCCAGGTTCAAGCAATTCTCCTGCCTCAGCCTCCTTAGTAGCTGGATTTACAGGCATGCGCCACCATGCCTGGCTAATTTTTTGTATTTTTAGTAGAGATGGTGTTTCACCATGTTGACCAGGCTGGTCTAGAACTCCTGACCTTGGGTGATCCACCCGCCTCGGCCTCCCAAAGTGCTGGGATTACAGGCATGAGCCACTGCGCCCAGCCTGGGCCTGCTTCTTTCTCTTTTTCTTTTTTTTTCATTAGCAGCTTAAAATTGGTGCCTTATTCAGACACAAGCAAAAGGACATTAGCCCAGCTTTGGAAATAGGTGAGAGCCCATATATGATTTTCCTAGTTTCTCCTCCCCCTTTGCTTTTTGCTCTCTTGTTAGTATATTAATTGTTTTCACTCTCTGAATCTTTTTTCCCCATTTCTTTGGCAGACATTTTTACTTGTCTTGGAAGAGTAGGTGAAGAGCTGTTTTTAGGACTCTTTGAAAGGGTACAGTATGGGTGACAGTCTTGGCTAATGGTAACATCCAGGGAGCTGGGGTCAGCGTGAGCTGGAATCAGTTCAAATTAGCAAAGCACTGGCACTCAGTAGCAGGAATACAAGTGACTGCAAAGTGTTAAACACATCTGGAAAGGGATACTGACATCATCCTCAGAATCTGTGGGGAGTTCACATAGCCAGTTAAGACCCATTCTTCTTTGACCCTGTAAAGATTCTTTAAAGAATAAATACCCTTAGTGGTTTTCTAGCCAGCTTGCCTGCTCATTTATCTTTGAGGACGACATGCCTTGTGGAGCTCCACAGGCCCCAGAGGGGTATGGATTCTGCATTTAAAAGTGCTGAAGCTGAGAGACTGGGTCTTGGTGGACCCCGAGAGGTCTGTTTCTCCTCTACTCATTGTTCCTTTTTTTCCCAACAGCTGGCATTGCTGTTTAAATGGGTTGTTCTTTGCTGTTTTAAGTTGTTTCATAGTGGTGTGTCAGGATTTGGGTTTTCTTAATACTTTCCAAGCTGGTGACTTGAGTGGTGGTTAGGGAGGAAATGTTTTAGGGCTGTTCTGGAGCTATTGAGGTCAGGTGTCTAGATACTCCCAGCTTGTCTGTTGAGGAGAATGCTGTTCTCATTGTGCTGCCTTTGGTGGTGCTGTGTGTGGCTCTTTAGATGTGCGTGGAGGTGAGCTGGGGGAGTTAATGAGATCTTTTTTAGGTGCTTTTGATAAAGTAGCCTGCACTACAGGATTCACTGTGACTTTTTTCCTTAACCTATGCATTTCTCTCTGCTAGCTTTTGCTGTCTTTCTCATGCCTTTGATTTTCCCAGCTCCTCTTAGTTGAATTAACCTAAGTGCTCTGCTATGGTTTAAATGTGTCCCCCAAAGTTTATGTGCTGGAAACTCAATCCTCAATGCAACAGTTGGGATGTGGGGCCTAATAAAATAGCCTTCATGAATGAGTTAATGTTGTTATTGTGGTAATAGATTAGTAATCACAGAGTGGGCTTATTATAAAACATCGAGTTCAGCCCCTTTTGCCCTCTTGCTTTCTTGCACTCTCTTTTCCTTCTGCCTTCTGTAGTGGGATGATGCAGCAAGAAGACCCTTACCAGATGCAGGCCCCTCAACCTTGGACTTCCTAACATCCAGAACTGTTAAGAAATAAAATTTATTCCTTTCCTTTCCTTTTCTTCCTCCTTTCCCTTCTCTTCCCTTTTCTTCCCTTCCCCTCCCTCCCTCTCTCCCTCCCTCCCTCCTTCCCTCCCTTCCTCCTTCCCTCTTTCTCTCTTTCCCTTCCTTCCTTTCCTTCTTTCCCTTCCTTCCTTTCCTTCCCTCCTTCCCTTTTCCCCTCCTTCCCTCCTCCCTTCCTTTTTTCTTTCCTTCCTTTTTTCCTTTTTATAAATTATGCAGTCTGTGGTATTCTTTTATAGAAGCATGAAATGGACAAAGACTCCATTTTCAAGAGCAAGCACTTTTGTAGTTTCTGAGCGAACTATGACTGCAAAGGAAGTTCTATAGGTAGCCTCAGATCCACTACCTAGGAAGCATGCCACCAAGCAGACCTAGGATCTAGGATTTGATCAAGTGCTGGGCAACATGATACCTCTGCAATTTAGCACTTCCCTATATACCTCCAGTTGGCTCAGCCCATTAGGGCTAAAACTACCCCTCATATCCTGGTGTCTCTTGTAGGCAGAAGCCTTGCCTAAACCCTAAGCTGCTTGGCTCACATTCTGTCTTGTGCTTTTTTTGTAGGGGGTTCAAATATACACAAAAGAAATATGTTGAACCTCCATGCACCCAACCCGCAGATTAAGCAGTTACCTCCATTTTTCCAGATTTGTTTCATCTGCTTCAATCTCCCTAAAAATTTATGTTTGTACAGGAAAGACTGAATAAATAGCTAATTCTCCACCCTACCTCTCATCTTAAGTCACTTTTCAGAGTAGTAAGTTAGTGACCTAGTAACCTTCCCTCTAATGACCAGTAGTTTTTTTTTCTGAATACCATTATGAACTCATAGATTATTGTTTGCATTTGATGTATTTCAGGCCATTGCAGTCTTTATTGTTTTGGATGCTTACATTGTCTCATCTAGGTTAATAATTATCTCTTCAAGTTGACTTTCATGTCTTTTTGACGTGATCCTGTTGGACTTTGATGGCTTCCTTGCTTTCTGGCAAAAAAGATGTTCCAGGATCAATATACTGCACCATACATGGAGTCAGCCGTTTCTCTAGGGAACCTTGATTCCTTTTAGTAGAGAACACAGTTTGAGGTCTTGGACTGAATGACTTTTGTGAACCTCCTCTCCTGAGACTACAGCCTGCATCCCTGCATATAGCCCGTTTGGAGCTCTTGCTGGGCACCAACAGATCTCCTAAAACTGCTATATAGTTCTGCCTCACTCTTACAAAGATTCATCTCTTGAGAGTTTTGTGCTCTACCCCCAGATGTGGTCTTTCTGGTTCTGAAGCTTTTGCTTCAGTCACCCTGAATTTTGCCAGCCCTATGCATGCTATACCTTGGATTGCCAACTTGCCCTCACTGAAGCCAGTTTCTCTGGTTAGAATAGTTGCCCAAACCCATGCCTAATACTCTAGTAAACAAGGTTCTACCTGGGCTTAGGTTAACTTTTGCTCCTTTGGGCCCTGTGTTCTACCAGCATTCCATTTATCTGAAACTCTCCCTCACCTTAAGAACTTATCTGTTCTTTAATGATTTACTGCTGCTTCCTGGGCTCGAAAGAACCCAGTTCAGGAGTTTCTGTTTTAGTTTGAGATCTTATAGGCCTGTCTCATCAGGTTGGTGTCAGCCCAGCTAGGATTAGGCAGAATTGGGTGGGGGCTGTAGTGCATTTTTGGCACAGCATGTACCTGTCTGACTAATTCTCTGTCTTTTCTTTCCTGTTGCAATTCATGGGTCTTAGCATCTTCTGAATGGTGTTTAGTAGGTCATCCTGTTGATTTCCTGCTAGGGAGTAGCATACTCTGGCTCTGTACCATTGGCCAAGGGACTTAAGGATAGATGAAGGGCTGCAGTTTTGTTAAATGGAACAATATGAAGAGATGGCATTGTAAAAAAAAAAAAAAAAAGGCTTGGCAGCAGGGCCCATTTGAATGGTTGGTCCTTGGCTCCTTTGTTGATATAGGCAGATCCTTGATGGGAATTTGGAATGATCCCAAATATTGTAGATCACTGGTACATCAAGTCATCCTCAAGGTTGTCTGTGTAACAGTCTTGAATGATATTTTGTCAGTCTTTGGAGATTCTCTGTATAGGGTTTAATCATTTAGTTATTTCAGTTGAGACTGTTTAGTTTCTTTGCAAGGAGATAAGAAATGTGAAAGAGATGCAGACATTAGGGAAAAAAAGTCAGGAGCCTTGTTTCCCCATCCTCTACTTGGGTTCTGGAACTAGACTCATAGGTGAGTAGTGAGGAGCTGGGCCCAAGCACATTAATCCTAGATCTAGCTCTGCTTTGCCCTCGCTCCAGTTCTTGTATCAAATTCACTTCAAGCCACCCAGAGTAGTATGTAGAGGAGTCATTCAGGACCGTGCTCATACTTCATTGTATCAAATGGGAGATCCAGTAATTTATAGCCTATTGTTTCTGGAGCCTGGAGATGGCTCTGCATAAGATTTGCCGAAGCAAATTTTATTACATTAGAAGAGAACCTAGCTGGCTGCATCCTACACTGGAAGCTTTTAGATGCTAATAAGGAGGTCATGTAAAGGTCACAGAATGACTCTGGAATCCATTCCCCGCCAAGAAAGAATAATGACATTCTATGTTGGCCTCTTTTCATTTCCCTTTGGTTTTGAGTAATAAATTCTCTCCTCACTTCCCAGTCGAACTGTTTGGGAGTCTCTATTCCCTAGAAAGACTCTGGTCGCATACCCATCAGATTAAATTAGGTGAAAACTCTTTGGCCTTCATGAATGTTGAAGGATTTCAAAGGGCTAATGGAAATTCTTCTAGAAGTAACTGCAACCTCTGCCTTCCGGGTTCAAGTGATTTTCCTGCCTCAGCCTCCCAAGTAGCTGGGATTACAGGTGTCCACCACCATGCCCAACTAATTTTTGTATTTTTAGTAGAGATGGGGTTTCACCATGTTGGCCAGGCTGATCTAGAACTTTTGACCTCAGGTGATCCGCCCGCCTCAGCCTCCCAAAGTGCTGGGATTACAGGCGTGATCCACCGCGCCCAGTTAAACTTCAGTTTTTCATGTTCCATGCATTGGTCAGGGTCTTAGGGAGTGATTCATTCTAGCAGAACTCCCTGGATTTTAAGGCAGATGTTCCATTTATTAATTGACAAAGGAGGCATATTTCTCCCCTGGTAACCCAAAGATTTAGGTCATTTTCCCAGAGACTCCATTTCCACTGTGAGGGTTCTTGGAAGACTAAGCAGAGGATGAGGAAAAGTCTGTGAACAAGCTTGCTGGTCTCTCCCTGTCCTACAAAAGAGCATACCTCTTCTGTAACCAGAAGGCCCTTTTGATTAGTCAAGGCTGGACAGAGTGAGATTGGGGGTGTGTGTGTGTGTGTGTGTGTGTGTGTGTGTGTGTGTGTGTGTTTGTGTGTGTCTTGAGACAGGGTCTCACTCTGTCACCAAGGCTAGAGTGCAGTGGTGAGATCAGAGCTCACTGCAGCTTCCACTTCCTGGGCTCAAGCGATCCTCCTATTTCAGCCTCCAGAGTAGCTGGGACTATACGAATGTTTTACCGCACCCAGTTCATTTTCTAATTTTTTGTAGAGATGAGGTTTCACTGTGTTGCTCAGGCTGGTCTTGAACTCCTGGCCTCACGGAATCCTCCTGCCTTAGTCTCCCAGTGGGCTGGGATTATAGGTATGAGCCACCTCACCTGACCTGCGACGATTTTTCAATGATGTAATTTCTCTTTTACAGAGCCACCTAAGCTGAAGATTCCCTTGAGAACAAGTACTGTCCCTGGTTTCCCAGTGCTGGAATATAGAAAATGGATGGACAAGTAAATCCCACTCAGCACCCATAGTCCAGGCGTGGGGACCTCAACACACCTGAGCCCCAGACATCACCTTTCATTGCGAGTAGCTCTGAGATGACACTTCTGCTGTTCCCAATTCCAGCATTAATTGGATTAGATAGTTATTTTATGAAGAATTTTCATATGCCACAATCCTGACCATATCTTCAAGTGAACAGAAAAATTCTATTAAAAAGTCAACCTTCTGTCTCACTCTGTTGCCCAGACTGGAGTGCAGTGGTGCAATTATGGCTCACTGCAGCCTCAACCTCCTGGGCTCAAGCAATCCTCCTGCCTCAGCCTCACAAGTAGCTGGGACTACAGGTGCTTGTCACCACACCTCACTAATTTTCCCATTTGTGTTATATGTGGATTCCACAGGACTGACTTCGAAAACTTGAGTATGCGTGGATTTTGGTATACACAGAAATGGGAGAGCTGGAACTAATCCCCCCATATACCAAGGGACAAATTGTATCTGTTTTTACAATTATACAGTAGGAGACATTATGTTCCATGACAATGGTAATTTTTAACGACAGTTTTTAATTGAGTGAAATTACCATAAAAATAATAATAGTAGCAGCTAATATTTACTGAGCTGTTACTAGGTGCCTATAAATAGCATAGATTTTTAAATTCTCCATAATTCTTCCTTATTTCACTTAACCACTCTATCTTAAATTACTCATGCTTGCCTCAGTAGCACACATACTTAAGTTGGAACAATAGAGAGATTGGCACGGCCTCTGTGGAAGAATGACATGCAAATTTGTGAAGCATTCCATATTTTTTTAAAAAAAGAAAAAAAAATTACTCCCAGATTTTCACTGTGTTTGTGCATATGACCTTTTGTTTAGGTTGAATTATATCCAAAGGTGAAATTTCGAGAAGTGAGATTACTGTGAGTCACAGGGCATGAGCATTCTTATTACCCTCGATGTAAATTGCAAAGCTTTCAGGCATGGTGGCTGTCAGCCTGTAATTCCAGCACTTTGGGAGGCTGAGGTGGGAGGATTGCTTGAGGCCAGGAGTTGGAGGAGGCAGTATAATGAGTCACTGTCTGTATGATTTAAAAAAAATTTCCAAGCTTTATGCTGGAAGGCTTATATACATTTTAAACACCACTAATACTACAAGAAAATGGCCATTTCACTGCACCTTCGCCCACACAGGTATTATAATTTAACAAGTTATTTTCTGTGTGATAAATGAAAGACCTCATATTATTACTTTGTCACCCATTCTTTTTTCTTTTTTGAGACACAGTCTCGCTCTGTTGACCAGGCTGGAGTGCAGTGGTGTGATCTCGGCTCACTGCAACCTGTGCCTCCCAGGTTCAAGCGATTCTCCTGCCTCAGCCTCCTGAGTAGCTGGGATTACAGGCACATGCCACCATGCCTGGCTAATTTTTGTATTTTTAGTAGAAACGTGGTTTCACCATGTTGATCAGGCTGGTCTCGAACTCCTGATCTCGTGATCTACCCGCCTTGGCCTCCCAAAGTGCTTGATTACAGCTGTGAGCCATGTGCCCAGCCTATTTGTCACATATTTTATCTTTCCTTATGTTAGCTTATTAGCTTTATTTCTTTATTGTCCTTTTTTTTTTTTTTTTTTTTTGAGATGAAGTCTCGCTCTGTCTCCTAGGCTTCAGTGTAGTGGCACAGTCTCAACTCACTGCAGCCTTGACCTCCTAGGCTCAGGTGATCCTTCCACCTCAGTAGTTGGGACTATAGGCACATGCCACTATGCCTGGCCAATTATTTTTATTTTTTTATTTTTACTAGAGAGGAGGTCTTGCTTTGTTTCTTAGGCTGGTCTGGAACTCCTGGCCTCAAGCAATCCCCCCACCACCCCCTCCCAAAGTACTGGTATTATAAGCATGAGCCACCATGCCTGGGGTATCTGTGTCTTTTCCATTTATTTATAGAGTTACTTTGTCTTTTACTAATTCAATGATCTGTTTAATCTTTTATTAAATTATAAAAATAATAAATACTTTTAAATAAGTGAAAAATGTCCTTCACTCTTTAGACCCATAATCTTATCTCAGGAAATAATTGCAGTTGAGAAAATGGGCCATATCCTTCAAGATACGTACATGGTGATTGAACATCACTTCATATTTTCATATTTCGTGGACATTTGTGCCAATACCTATTGATCTATCTTAATCCTTTTCATGGTTGCATAATATTTTATTATATGGATGTGTCACAATTTACCAGTACCAGTCAACTGCTGGAGGCATTTAGGCTCCTTCTAATATTTGCTTTGAGCTCTTTATATAATTAAAAATTAACCCCCTCAGCCAGGTGTGGCAGCTCACACCTTTAATCCCAGCATTTTGGAAGGCTGAGGTGAGAGAACTGCCTGAGTGTAGGAGATCACCACCAACCTGGTCAACATAGTGACACTTTGTCTCTACTAAAAATTAAAAAAAAAAAAATGAGCTACACGTTGCAGTGCACACCTGTAGTCCGAGCTACTGGGGAGGCTAAGACTGGAGGATCACTTGAGTCTAGAAGGTTGAGGCTGCAGTAAGCTATGATCACACCATTGCACTTTAGCTTTGCTAAGAGCAAGACTGCACTTCTTAAACAAAATAAAAATTAGATGGGAATATTGCTCAAGCCCTGGAGGTTGAGGCTGCAGTTAACTGTGATTGCAGCACTGCAGTCCAGCCTAGGTGATAGAGCAAGACCCTTTCTCTAAAAATAAAATAAAATAAAAATTAACCTTCTATCATATTTCCCAGTAACACCTTCCCTCCTACATTTCTCCTAGAAGCCCTTAAATTTTGTTTTTCACATATCGTTTAAAACTTTTAAGCGCTGATGTCTGTCTGTGTCATCCCTCTTTTTTTTTTTTTTTTAAATGTCTTTTTGTCACTTCTAGCTGGACCTACCATGAAAGACTTCTGAATCCAGGAAGAGAAACTGACTGGGCAACATGTTATTCAGGTACAAAAAGACTTGGACTGTAACTCAAAAATGATCAAATAATAGTGCATGCATCAAGTGCAATCGGAAGCTCTTCTGGAGAGGGAGAGAAGCTTCCAGTTAAGGTGACATTGAAGCCAAGTCCTGTAAGATAAGGAAGAGTTGTATGAGAGTGGGGAGGGAAGGGGGAGGTGGAGGGATGGGGATTGGGCTGGGATGGGATGGAGTGAGCTGCCCAGGCAGGGAAACCAGCACTATACAGACCTGAACAATGAAGATGGCACATTTTGTTCAGGGAATGGTGAATTAAGTGTGGCAGAAATGCTTTGTAGAGACAGTAATTTGCTTGTATGGAATTTTGCTCAAGAGACCTCATTACAGTTTCTAATTTTTTGATGTTATCATGCATCACTGCCCTTGTCAGATAGTATCATGATCACAATAACATCAAGCATAATATTTCATTGATTCTCACAAAAACAGGTGGGTGCCACAGTTATCCCCATTATATGCACAAAATGATGAAGACTTGGGGTTAATGAGCGATTTGCCCAAGCTCACCTGAATATTAGGACTGAGTCAAATGTTAGTCTGGTCTGACTTTAATGCTTGCCTTGTTCATGAGCACCATGCATTGCCTCTCCTATTAAGTTAAGCAGGTAGACAGGTGAGAGAAGAGCCAGTGTGATATCGGGGGAAATTCACCCCTGATATTTCATGTAGGTTCTTTTCTATTTTCCCTGAGTGTCAGCCAGTCTGAGAAATAAAGGGAAAGAGTACAAAAGAGAGAAATTTTAAAGCTGGATGTCCAGGGGAGACATCACACGTCGGCAGGTTCCGTGATGCCCCCCAAGCCGCAAAACCAACAAGTTTTTATTAGTGATTTTCAAAAGGTGAGGGAGTGTACGAATAGGGTGTGGGTCACAGAGATCACATGCTTCACAAGGTAATAAAATATCACAAGGCAAATGGAGGCAGGGCAAGATCACAGGACCACAGGACCGGGGCGAAATTAAAATTGCTAATGAAGTTTCGGGCGCGCATTGTCATTGATAACATCTTATCAGGAGAAAGGGTTTGAGAGCAGACAACCCATCTGACCAACATTTATTAGGCGGGAATTTCCTTGTCCTGATAAGGCTGGGAGCGCCACGCGAACCCAGGGCTTATTTCATCCCTTATCTATGACTGTAAAAGACAGCCGTCCCCAAAGTGGCCATTTCAGAGGCCTCCCCTTAGGGATGCATTCTCTTTCTCAGGGATGTTCTTTGCTGAGAAAAAGAATTCAGCAATACTTCTCCTATTTGCTTTTGAAAGAAGAGAAATATGGCTCTGTTCAACCCGGCCCACTGGCAGCCAGAGTTTAAGGTTATCTCCCTTGTTCCCTGAAATTGCTGTTATCCTGTTCTTTTTTCAACGTGCCCAGGTTTCATATTGTTTAAACAACTTGTGCAGTTAACGCAATTATCACAGGGTCCTGCGGGGACATTCATCCTCAGCTTACGAAGATGACCGGATTAAGAGATTAAAGACAGGCATAGAAAATCACAAGGGTATTGATTGGGGAAGTGATAAGTGTCCATGAAATCTTCACAATTTATGTTCAGAGATTGCAGTAATGACAGGCCTAAGAAATTATAGAAGTATTAATTTGGGGAACTAATAAATGTCCATGAAATCTTCACAATTTATGTTCTTCTGCTGTGGCTTCAGCCAGTCCCTCCGTTTGGGGTCCCTGACTTCCTGCAACACGTTTCTCTCTACTCACAGACTTCTGACCAAATGTGTGTGCAGAGTTTCTACACCAGTTCTCCAACTCTCTGGATACCAACCGCGTATCCCACAATTCCATTCTGACACTACCTAGAGTTAGCACAGAACCCACAGGTTAGGGGCTCAGTCCCACAAGACCACCCTCACTTCAGATGCCAGTTGCAAGTCCTAGGTTGTCACCTGTATTTTGACCAACCAGTTAGAAATCAGGGTTTCCCATGACCCTCTTGTTGAGTTTAATTATTTACTAGAACAACTCACAGAACTTAGAAAAACAAGTTTTTTTTCTTTTCTTTTTAAGAGACAGGGCCTCGCTCTGTTGTCCAAGCTGGTGTGCAGTGGTGCAATCATAGCTCATTGAAGCCTCAACGTCCAGAGCTCAAGTGATTCTCCTGCTTCAGCCTCTCAAGTAGCTGGAATTACAGGGTTCCCACCACCACATTTGGCTAATTTCTTTTATTTTTTGTATAGATGGGGTCTTCTTATGTTGCCCAGGTTGGTCTCAAATTCCTAGGCTCAAGTGATTCCGCCCACCTCTGCCTCCCAAAGTGCTGGGATTACGGGCATGAGCCAGCGCATCTGGCCACCTTATTTTCTATTACTGGCTCAATGTAATGGCTCCATCTCAGGAACAGCCAATGAAAGAGATGCACAGGACAAGGTAAGTGGGGAGGGGCACAGAGCTTCCATGCCCTCTGTTGGGCACACTACCCTCCCAGGACCTCCTTGTGTTTAGCAACACAGAAGCTCTCCAAACCCTGCTGTTTGGGTGTTTATGGAGGCATGATTGATAAAATCACTGGCCATTGGTAGTTAAGTCAATCTCCAGTTCCTTTTGCCTCCTGGAGTTCAGCAGGTGAGGCTGAAAGTTCCAAGCCTCAAAAAATGTGGTTGGGGCCAGGTGCGGTGGCTCACTCCTGTAATCCTAGCAGTTTGGAAGGCTGAGGCACATGGACCACTTGAGGTCAAGAGTTTGAGACCAGCCTGACCAACATGGTGAAACCCCATTTCTACTAAAAATAACAACAGTTAGCTAGGCGTTGTGGCACATCCCTATAATTCCAGCTACTCGGGAGGCCGAGGCAGGAGAATTGCTTGAACCCGGGAGGTGGAGGTTGTAGTGAGCTGAGATTGTGCCATTGCACTCCAGCCTGGGCTACAAGAGCCAAACTCCGTTTTAAAAAAAAAATGTGGTTGCTTTCTCTGGCAGCTAGCCCTCCTCCTGAAGCAGTCTCGGAGCTTGCAGCCACCCCGTTAGCTCAACAGCATCCCACATGCATTCTTACCATGCTGCAGATCTGAAAGACCTTAGAGGCCCTTGTGTCAGGAACCTGGGACTAAGACTAAATATCAAAACAGAAAATGCTCCTATTACCTCTGTCACGAAGGGCTTTATAAGAGCTTTGGAAGCTCTATGCCAGGAACCAGGGGCAGAGACCAAATGTATATTTCTTTTCTTATATCGGAGACAGAGTCTCACTCTGCCACTGAGGCTGGAGTGCAGTGATGTGATCATAGCTCACTGCAGCCTTGACCTCCTAGGCTAAAGCAATCCTCCCACCTTAGCCTCTCCAGTAGCTGGAACTACAGGCATGCATCACCATGTCCAGCTGATTTTAATTTTGTAAAGGCAGGATCTTCCTTTTTTCCCCAGGCTGATCTCTAACTCTTGGCCTCAAGCAATCCTTCCTCTTTGGCCTCCCAAAATGTTGGGATTACAGATGGGAGCCCCCATACCCACCAATCACAAGGATCTTTATAAGAGAATGAGGTAGGAGAGTCAGAATTAGAGAAAGTGATGTGGTAATGGAAGAAGAGGTCAGAGAGGGAGATTTGAAGATGCTGCACTTCTGGCCTTGAATATGGAGTCACGAGGTAAGTCAAGGAATGGGGGTGGCTTCTAGAAGCTGGAAAAGGCAAAGGAGCACATTCTGTCTAGAGCCTCCCCCAGAAGGAATGCAGCCTCTCTGACACCTTGACTTTAACCTTAATAGACCTAGTTGGGCTTCTGGCCCCCAGAACTGTAAGATGGTAGATTTGTGGTGTTTGATGCCACTAAATGTAGGGTACTTTGTTGTAGCAACAACAAAAAATGAACATGAAGCTGGGACCTCATGTTACGGTTGCTCACGCCTGTAATCCCAGAACTTTAGGAGGCTGAGGTGGGAGGATCGCTTAAGCCCAGGAGCTTAAGACCAGCCTGGACAACATAATGAGACCTCATGTCTAAAAAAAAATTTTTTTAAAGGCCAGGCGCAGTGGCTCACGCCTGTAATCCCAGCACTTTGGGAGGCCGAGGAGGGTGGATCACGAGGTCAGAAGTTCAAGACCAGCCTAGCCAAGATGGTGAAACCCCATCTCTACTAAAAATACAAACATTAGCCAGGTGTGGTGGTGGGTGCCTGTAATCCCAGCTACTTGGGAGGCAGAGAATCACTTGAACCCAAAAGGCAGACATTGCAGTGAGCCAAGATCGCACCCTTACACTTCAGCCTGGGCGACCGAGACTCCATCTCAAAAAAAAAAAAAAAAAGCCATGTGTTGTGGCATGCAGCTGTAGTCTCAGTTCCTAGGGTGGCTGAGGCGGGAGGATTGTTTAAGCCTGGGAGGTTGAAGTTGCTGTGAGCTGTGATTGCACCAGTGTACTCCAGCCTGGGCAATAAAGCAAGACCTTGTTTCAAAAAGAAAGAAAGAAATGAGCATGGTGGGAATGGGGACAGATGGCAGTGTTAAGTAGAGTGGTCAGGGTTGGCCTCATAAGTGAATATTGAGCAAAAGTTTGAAGCAGGTGATGGAGCTGGCCAAGGTGCTGAGGGAAGAGCATTGTAGGCTGAGTCAACAGGATAAAGGCATTAGGAGGAAACTCTCTGGTGTGTCTGAGGCTCTGGAAGGAGGCCAGTGGAGCAAAGAGATAGAGGGAGCGAAGTCAGCGAGGAGGCCAGGGAGTTGCTGGGCTGGGATCGGTACAGATCGTGTAAGCCCTGGGACGCTATTGCTGGGGCTTTGGCTTTTACTCTGACTAAAATGGGAACCACCGAGGGCTTCTGAGCAGAGAGGCGACATGATCCGTTTCCTGATTTAAAAGCACGACCTGGCTGCCGAGTTGAGACTATGGGAAGATTTGGGTAGAAGCATGGGAGCCAAGCTGTGGCAACATCCCGGTGGGAGATGATAGTGATCCTGACGGGGTTCATGGTGGTGGTGAGAGATGGTTAGAGCCTGGATACATGTTGAAGTCAGTCAGTAGGATTTCCTGACAGACTGGATGTGAGCTGTGAGAGAAGGCAGTGGTCAAGGTTGAGTTTGATTCTGATTGAATTATTAAGTAATTTTAAAAAACACTACTGCTTTTCCCAATCCTACCAAGTAAAGGATGCTAGATAAAAGAAATCCCAAGTCAGGCCAGGTACAGTGGCTCACACCTATAGTTCCAACAGTTTGAGAGGCAGAGATGGGAGTATGTTTTAAGGCCATGAGTTTGAGAGCAGCCTGGGCAACACAGCAAGACCTCCTCTCTACAAAAATAAAAAAAATAAATTTAATAAAATAAAATAAATATAGCCAGGCATGATGGTATGTACCTATGGCCCCAGTTACTCATGTGGCTGAGATGGGCAGATCTCTTGATTCTAGGAGTTTGAGGCCAGCTTGGGCAACATAGCAAGTCTTCTCTCTCTACAAAAATGAAAAAAATGCCTGACATGGTGGTACTTGCCTGTATTCCCAGGTATGGGGGCAGCTGAGGCAGGAGCATCTCTTGAGCCCAGTTGGTCAAGGTTGCAGTGAGCTATGATTATACCACTGCACTCCATCCTGGGTGACAGAGTGGGACCCTGTCTCAAAATACAAATACAAATGAAATCTCAAGTCAGACCAGTCCCTTCTAGGCTATGTAGGCCTTGTAACCACATAGCTGCATGATCGGGTTTGTGTGGCTGTGGATGAGGAGACCCCTGTCCAATTGTTGGCTATGTAATCAGTTTATTTTTCAATATAGTAATCAAATATATTTCATCATACTTGATGGTCTCAGATATGTGTGGATTTTGGAATTCCCCTTGGAACAGGTTGTAACATCTTATTGGCTCCATAATTCCATAATTTTTTTAATCTGATCAGTTTTTAATAAGATCGCAATTTATATTAGACTACTTAATCGGTTTTGTTAATGAGAAAATGAAATTGTGTTGTTTGCATTTTATCCAAGATGGGTGTCATATTGGGTAAATCTCATCAATACTTGAACAAATGCAAAATTAGAGCTTCTTTATCATGAAACACGATGTAATTCTTGAAGAAGATGCCATTTCTTTTTTTTCTTTTTTTTTTTAAGATAAGAGTCTTTCTCTTGTCACCCAGGCTGGAGTGCAATGGTGCGATTTTGGCTCACTGCAACCTTCACCTTCTGGGTTCAAGCAATTCTCCTGCCTCAGCCTCCCGAGTAGCTGGGATTACAGGTGCCCGCCACCATACCCAGCTAATTTTTGTATTTTTAGTAGAGATGGGATTTCACCATGTTGGCCAGGCTCCTCTGGAGCTCCTGACCTCAGGCAATCTGCCTGCCTCAGCCTCCCAAAATTCAAGGAGTACAGATGTGAACAACCACGCCCGGCCTCCATTTCTTTTTTGTAGTCTTTAATAAACAGCTGCTATCATTGCAGACTTGCTGTTTAGGCACTTAGGAATTTTTCACTAGAAGGCATGTAAATAAAGACCATGGGCAATTGTAATGAATTTCGCCTTCATTCTTTGACTACATGACTGTCCCCAGAGCTGTAACTTTATTGAATTTTTTAGAAGCCATTTAGCTAGCAACTGAGCCTAACCAGCCACTCACCGTCATTATTCAGTGCTCTTTTATTATTGTCTATTTCTCCTCCAACTTGGCTACACTCACAAAGTGATAAAAACTTGCATTTGTTTTCTTTCCTTTTCAGAAATGGCATCTTGCTCTGTTGCTTAGGCTACAGTACAGTGACATGATCATGGTTCACTGTAGCCTCAAACTCCTGGGCTCAAGTGGTTCTCTCACTTCAGTCTCCCAAGTAGCTGGGACTACAGACATGTGCCACCATGTCCAGGTAATTTTTTATCATAGAGACGAGATCTTGCCATGTTGCTCCGACTGGGCTCAAAACTCCTGACCTCAAGTGATCCTCCTGCCTCAGCCTCCCAAAGTGCTGGGATTACAGGCAGGCATGACCACCTGTGCCCAGCCCCCTATTATTATTATTTTAAATAATAGCTTTATTAAAATATTCACATACCATTCACTTTATTTATTGAAATCTGCAATTCAGTAGGTTTTAGAATATTCACAGAGCTGTGCATCGATCACCACAGTCACTTTTAGAACCTTTCATTACCCTATAGAGAAATCCATACCCCTTAGCCACTACCTCCTACTCTCCCCACCTACCTTTGCCCCCAGCCTTAGGCAACCATTGATTAATTTTTTTGTCACTATAGATTTGCCTAATCTGGACAAATAGAATTGTACAATATGTGATCTTTTGTGGCTTTTCTTCCCTCTTAGCACAGTGTTTTCAAAGTTCCTTTATGTCATAGTGTGTATCAATATTTCATTCCTTCTATGGCAGTATTCCATGGTAGAGACACACTGCATTTTGTTTATCTGTTCATCAGTTGGTGGATATTTGGGTTGTTTCCATGTATTCCATGTATTGGTCATTATGAATAATGCTGCTATGAAGATTGTTGTACAAGTTTTTGTGTGGACATATATTTTTATTTTTCTGGGATATATGCCTAGGAGTGAAATTGTTGCATTATAGGATGACTGTACATTTAGCCTTTTGAGAAACTGCCAGACTGTTTTCTAACGTGGCTATACCAGTTGGGTGCAATGGCTCACACCTGTAATCCCAGCTACTCAGGAGGCTCAGCTAGGAGGATGGCTTGAGCCCGTGAATTCAAGACCAGCCTGGGCAAGATAGTGAAACCCCGTCTTGATTTTTTAAAAATCCAATTAAAATGACAAGAAAAGAAATACCCAAACAAAATGGTTACACAATTTTATGTTCCCACCAGTAATGTATGTGGGTTCCAATTCCTCCACATCTTCACTGACATTTTTTTTTTCTTTTTTTTTTTTTTTTTTTTTTTTTTTTTGAGACGGAGTCTCGCTCTGTCGCCCAGGCCGGACTGCGGACTGCAGTGGCGCAATCTCGGCTCACTGCAAGCTCCGCTTCCCGGGTTCACGCCATTCTCCTGCCTCAGCCTCCCGAGTAGCTGGGACTACAGGCGCCCGCCACCGCGCCCGGCTAATTTTTTGTATTTTTAGTAGAGACGGGGTTTCACCTTGTTAGCCAGGATGGTCTCGATCTCCTGACCTCATGATCCACCTGCCTCGGCCTCCCAAAGTGCTGGGATTACAGGCGTGAGCCACCGCGCCCGGCCAACATTTTTTTTTTTTCTAGATAGGGGCTTGCTCTGTCTCTCAGGCCGCAGTGCAATGATGCCATCACAGTTCACTGCAGCCGTGACCTCCCAGGCACAAGTGATTCTCTCATCTCAGCCTCCTGGGTAGCTGAAAATTACAGGTGTACGCCACCATGCCTGGCTAATTTTTAGATTTTTCTGTAGTGGTGGGATTTTACCATGTTGCCCAGGCTGGTCTCATACTCCTGGCCTCAAGTGATCTGCCCACCTCAGCCTCCCTAAGTTCTGGAATTACAGGCTGCCACCATGCCCGGCCTTCACCAACATTTGCCATTATCTGTTTTTTTTTTCTTCCTTTATACCTTAAAGCAGTATAAGAACAAGTGTCTTCAATTATAGGAAACAGTATAATCCCAGGGCTTTGGGAGGCTAAGACAGGAAGATGTCTTGATGCCAGGAGTTTTTTTTGTTGTTGTTGTTTTTGTTTTTGTTATTGTTGTTGTTGTTTTTGACAGTCTCGCTCTGTCACCCAGGGTGGAGTGCAGGGATGGGGTCCACTGCAACCTCCACCTCCCAGGTTCAAGTGATTCTCCTGCCTCAGCCTCCCGAGTAGGTGAGACTACAGGTACACGCCACTACTGCCCAGCTAATTTTTGTATTTTTGATAGAGTCAGAGTTTCACCGTGTTGGCCAGGCTGGTCTCGAACTCCAGACTTCAGGTGATTTGCCTGCCTTAGCTTCCCAAAGTGCTGCGATTACAAGCATGAGCCACCATGCCCAGCCTGATGCCAGGAGTTTTAGACTAGCCTGGGCAACCTAGCAAGACCTTGTCTCTACAGAATATTTAAAAATTAGCCAAATGTGGTGGTGCCTGTGTATAGTCTCTCTCCCTCTCTCTTTTTTTTTTCTAACTTTTTGTGACATGGTCTGGCTCTGTCACCCAGGCTGAAGTGCAGTGGTGTGATCATGGCTCACTGCAGCCTGAAACTCCTGGGATCAAGTGATCAATCCTCCCACCTCATCCTACCAAGTAGTAGGGACCACAGGTGTATGCCACCCAGGTCTTGCTATGTTGTCCAGGCTGGTCTTGAGCTCCTGGCCTCAAGCAATCCTCTCACCTTGGCCCCCCACAGTGCAAGGATTACAGGTATGAGCCACCATGCCTGGCCCCTACCCTGCCTACTGAGAACCAAAGGAAGGATCCAAATTCTCCTTAGCTCAACTCGAGCCATTTCCTGATTGCTTCATCAGCGAGGAGCTGGTTATTGGGCTGTCCAGGCCTCCCAAGCAGCACAGAAATGAGGTGAAGGAGTTTTCCTGTTGCTCCACTCTGTAAGGAGTTGGAGGGTGATGTTTACTCGTTTGCAGAGAGAGATGCCTTGTAGGCACCTCAGGATGGAGAGGGTCCTGATTCCAATGTCCTTTTTTTCTTCAGAAACAGGACCTTGCCCTGTCACTCAGGATGGAGTTCAGTGGTCCTATCATGGCTCATTATAGCCTCAAACTCCCAGGCTCAAGCAATCCTACCATGTCAGCCTTCCCAGTAGCTGGGACTACAGGTAAGCATCGTGACACTCAGTGAATTTTGTTTTTATTTTGTTGTAGAGATGGGACCTCAGTATGTTGCCATGGCTGACCTTGAACTCCTGCACTCAAGGGATTTTCCTACCCTGGCCTCCCAAAGCATTGGTATTACAGGCATGAGCCATTGTGCCCACCGTCTCTGGTTCTTAACCTTCTGCCTCCCTCTTCCAGTTTTAAAGAATGCTTGTAATTACATGGGCTCTCCTAGATACTCCAGGATAATCTTGTTTTAAGGTCAGCTGATGAGCAACATTAATTTTATCTGCACTCTTAATTCCCCCTTCCTATGTAATTGTGCTGTGTAACATAGGACATGAGCAATTGGTGGCGGTGGGGGTTATTACTTTGGCCACCACAGTAACTATTTTATGCCAGGTACTCAGCTAAGCACTGGTGAATTAAGCATGAATAACACACACTCCCTAATCTCCATCCATTCATGGGAGGAGCACTTCACCTGCCATGCTCCTGAGAATCTCGGGAGTCATAGAAGTCTTCTATGAGGAGGTGATGCCAAAGCGGACAAGTGACAGAGGAGTCAAAGCTAGCTAGGAAGAGAGTAGAGGTTTAAGGGGAAGCATATTATAAGCAGAGGATATTACCCACTTCAGAGACTCCCAGAGGAGAAAGAGTGTGCGTTCAAGGGGCAGATGAGGCTCAGTTGGACTCCATAGCAGATGAAATGGAGAGGGGCAAGCAGTGAGGCTGCCTTGCAAGGCAGGGCAGAGCAGGGGCTGTTAAGGAGTTTGGACTTAATCCCTGAGGCAAGGAGAAGTGATGTAAATGGGGGAGTAACATGATGAGATTCATAGATTAGAGACATGGCTCAGGCTGCTGTAGAGAAGGCACCAGGAAGAGCAGATGGCTCAATGTGTGTGCAGAAGACCTCTCCCTGAGTTTAGGGAGAGGTTTTTAAAACAGAAGAAGTTTGAGTAATTTAAATGATGATGGGAAGGAGCTAAAAGTGGGGGATAGGTTAAAGAAACAGGAAAGTGGGAGGAAGAACTGACAAGTGAGGTTCCAGAGAGGGCAGGAGAAGAGGAGATTCCCATAGGGGGATTAACACTTTCTTTTCTTTTTTCTTTCTAAGACAGGGTCTCACTCTGTCGCCCAGGCTGGAGTGCAGTGGCACAATCTTGGCTCACTGTAGTGTAGACTTCCCAGGCTCAAGGGATTTCTCCCACCCCAGACTCCCAAGTAGCTGGAACTACGGGTGTGCACCACCACCACACCTGGCTAATGTCTCTTTTTTTTGGTAGACACAGAGTCTCACTATTTAGCACTGATTGGTCTCCAACTCCTGGCCTCAAGCGATCCTCCTGCCTAGGCTTCCCAAATTGCTGGGATTACAGGCATGAGCCACAATGCCTGGCCTCTGCTAGTTCCGTATTCTCTAGAGTTGTCTTTACTTTGTGCTAGTGTGTCCCTCATTGTGCTGATCCTCTGTAAAAATTAATACCTTTTTTTTTTTTTTTGAGATGGAGTTTCACTCTTGTTGCCCAGGCTGGAGTGCAATGGTGCTATCTCGGCTCAGCGCAACCTCCACCTTCTGGGTTCAAGCAATTCTCCTGCCTCAGCCTCCCGAGTAGTTGGGATTACAGGCATGTGCCACCATGCCCAGCTAATTTTGTATTTTTAGTAGAGATGGGGTTTCTCTGTGCTGGTCAGGCTGGTCTCGAACTCCTGACCTCAGGTGATCTGTCTGCCTTGGCCTCCCAAAGTGCTGGGATTACAGGCATGAGCCATTTTGCCTGGCCAAAATTAATACTTTTTATATTAAATTTACATATATATATATATATATATATATATATATATATATATATATATATATACACGTTTTTTCTTTTTGATACCGGGTCTCACACTGTCACCCAGGCTGGAGTACAGTGGCACAACCTCTGCTCACTGCAGCCTCCACCTGCCAGGCTCAAGCAATTCTCCTGCCTCAGCCTCCCGAGTAGCTGGGATTACAGGTAAGTGCCACCACACCCAGCTGATTTTTGTGTTTTTTGTAGAGACGAGGTTTCACCATGTTTCCCAGACTGTTCTCAAACTCCTGAGCTCAAAGCAGTCCACCCACCTTGGCCTCCCAGAGTTCTGGGATTACAGGTGTGAGCCATCTTGCTCATTCTAGTTTAAACTTTTGAGTGGTTTGTGTCTCCTGATTGGACTCCTACAAATACAGAATTGATGCTAGGAAGGGTACCAGGAGATAGACGCACACAGATGGGATTTGGGAATAGGTTTGGTTATCCAAGGAGCAGTGCTGAGCTCCTTGCAATGGGATATGGGATGCTGGTGATTTCCAGGAAGTGAGCTCACAATGACTCAAGCTGCCACATACTGTTGATTGTGAAATGCCAGTTGAAGCATATGTCCTGCGAGCTTAGGGGTGCTACAAGTTGACCACTGCAGCAGTAAAGATGACTCTGAAGAATGGCGTGGGTTGGTTCCTTTCAAATGCACTTGAGCAGTGGTCTCCAACCACAGGGCCACAGAGCTGGAGGTGAGCAGCAGGCGAGTGAAGGGAAACTTCATCTGTATTTCTAGCCCCTCCCATCGCTTGCATGACCACCTGAGCTCCATGTCCTGTCAGATCAGCAGCAGCATTAGGTTGTCATAGGAGCACAAACTCTGTTGTGAAGTGTGCATGCGAGGGATCTAGGTTGTGTACTCCTTATGAGAATCTAATGCCTGATATTCTGTTACTGTCTCCCATCACCCCAGGTGGACAGTCTAGTTGCAGGAAAACAAGCTCAGAGATCCCACTGAGTCTACGTTATAGTGAGTTGTAGAATCATTTCATTATATATTACTATGTAGTAATAATAGAAATAAAGTGCACAATATATGTAATGCACTTGAATCATCCTGAAATTATTCCCTCATTCCCAGTCTGTGGAAAAATTGTCTTCCACACATTCACTCTGTTTTTTGGTAGAGGCAGGGTCTTAATATATTGCCCAGTCTGATCTCAAACTCCTGGCCTCAAGTAATATACCTCTCTCAGCCTCCCAAAGTGCTGAGATTACAGGCATAAGCCACCACCCTCAACCAAGACTTTCTTAAACCAAATAAAAATTAAGTGAGATTACTTGAGCCCAGGTGGTCAAGGCTGCAGTGAGCCTGATTGCACCACTGCACTCCAGCCTAGGTGA
Source organism: Homo sapiens (assembly GCF_000001405.40). Classification (NCBI taxonomy): domain Eukaryota; kingdom Metazoa; phylum Chordata; class Mammalia; order Primates; family Hominidae; genus Homo; species Homo sapiens. The sequence continues at coordinate 181,317,139 of NC_000005.10, forward strand.
CAGAATGAGACTGTCTCAAAAAATAAAATAAAATACAAATTAACCCTTCATGACATTCCCAGTAACTTCCTAAGTGCTCCCCACAAGTCTTTGAATTCTGTTTAATTTTCACATGACATTTAAGACATTTAAGAACTTATGTCTGTCTGTGTCATCCCTTTATGTCAAAAGATGTCTTTTTGTCACTTCCAGCTGGATCTACCATGAAAGACTTGTGAATCCAGGAAGAGAGACTGACTGGGCAACATGTTATTCAGGTACAAAAAGATTTGGACTGTAACTTAAAAATGATCAAATTATGTTTCCCATGCATCAGGTGCAATGGGAAGCTCTTCTGGAGAGTGAGAGAAGCTTCCAGTTAAGGTGACATTGAAGCCAAGTCCTGAAAGATGAGGAAGAGTTGTATGAGAGTGGGGAGGGAAGGGGGAGGTGGAGGGATGGGGAATGGGCCGGGATGGGATAGCGCAAACTGCCCGGGAAGGGAAACCAGCACTGTACAGACCTGAACAACGAAGATGGCATATTTTGTTCAGGGAATGGTGAATTAAGTGTGGCAGGAATGCTTTGTAGACACAGTAATTTGCTTGTATGGAATTTTGCCTGAGAGACCTCATTGCAGTTTCTGATTTTTTGATGTCTTCATCCATCACTGTCCTTGTCAAATAGTTTGGAACAGGTATAATGATCACAATAACCCCAAGCATAATATTTCGTTAATTCTCACAGAATCACATATAGGTGCCACAGTTATCCCCATTTTATGAATGGAGTGATGAAAACCTTAGGAATAATGAATGATTTGCGCAGGCTCACCTGGATATTAAGACTGAGTCAAATGTTGGGTCTGGTCTGACTTTAATGTTTGCTTTGTTCATGAGCACCACATATTGCCTCTCCTATGCAGTTAAGCAGGTAGGTGACAGAAAAGCCCATGTTTGTCTCTACTCACACACTTCCGACTGAATGTATGTATGGAGTTTCTACACCAGATTCTTCAGTGCTCTGGATATTAACTGGGTATCCCATGACTTTATTCTGACACTACCTGGAGTTAGCACAGACCCCACAAGTTAGGGGCTCAGTCCCACGAGGCCATCCTCACTTCAGATGACAATGGCAAGTCCTAAGTTGTCACCATACTTTTGACCAACCTGTTACCAATCGGGGGTTCCCGTAACTGTCTTCTTGGGTTTAATAATTTGCTAGAACAGTTTACGGAACTCAGAAAAACAGTTTATTTTCTTTTTTTCTGAGAGAGAGGGTCTTATTTTGTTGCCCAGGCTGGTGTGCAATGGTGCAGTCATAGCTCATTGCAGCCTTGATTGTCTGGGTTCCAGTGGTTCTCCCACCTCAGCCTCCCTAGTAGCTGAGACTACATGCCTGCACCACCACATCTGGCTAGTTTCTTTTATTTTTTGTATAGATGGGGTCTTGTTGTGTTGGCCAGGCTGGCCACAAATTCCTGGTCTCAAGTGATCCTCCCACCTCAGCCTCTGAAAGTGCTGGGATTACAGATGTGAGCCACCACATCTGGCCAGTTCATTTCCTATTACTGGTTCATTGTGAAGGATACATCTCAGAAACAGTCAATGAAAGAGACGTGCATGCTGGATGCAGTGGCTCATGCCTGTAATCTCAGCACTTTGGGAGGCCAAGGTGGGAGGATCGCTTAAACTCAGGAGTTTGAGACCAGCCTGGGCAACATGGTGAAAACCTGTCTCTATAAAAAATTAAAAAATAATAATAATAACTGGTGTGGTGTTGTGCACCTAGAGTTCCAACTACTAGGGAAGCTGAGATGAGAGGATACCTTGAGCTGGGGACTGGGGAGGCTTAGGTTACAGTAAGCTGAGATTGTGCCACTGCACTCCAGCTTGGACAAAAGAGCCTGATCCTGTCTCAAAAAAAAGAAAGATACCCAGGGCAAGTTAAGTTCGGAGGGGCACAGAGCTCCCATGCCCTCTGTTGAACATGCGACCCTCCCAGCATCTCCTGTGTCCAGCAACCCTGAAAGCTCTGCAAACCCCTTTCAGGGTGTTTATGGAGGCTTTATTATGCAAGCATGATTGATAAAACCTTTGGCTGTTGGTGATTAAGTCAGTCTCCAGCCCCTCTTCCCCCTGGAGTTCAGTGCATGAGGCTGAAAGTTCCAAGCCTCTTACCATGTGGTTGCATGGTAATCAGCCCTCCTCTTGAAGAAATTTAGGAGCTTGCAGTCACCCAGTCATCTCAACAACATCCCCAAATGCATTCTTACCATGCTGGAGATCCCAAAGTTCTTAGAGGCTCTTGTGTTAGAAACCTGGGACCAAGATCAAATATTAAAACAAAAGATGCTCCTGTCACATCTATCACTGAGGTCTTTGTAAGAGCTTTAGAAGCTCTGTGCCAGGAACCAGGGACAGAGATTAAATATATATTTCTTTTCTTTTTTTTGAGACAGAATCTCCCTGTGCCATCCAGGCTGGAGTGCAGTGATGTGATCATAGCTCACTATAGCTTTGGCCTTCTGAGATCAAGCAATCCTCCCATCTCAACCTCCCAAGTAGCTAGGACTACACATGCATGTCACCCATGCCCAGATCATTTTTGTAGAGTCAGAGTTTCACCGTGGTGGCCAGGTTGGCCATGTTGGCCAGATGGGGTCTTCTTTTGTTGCCCAGGCTGGCCACAAATTCCTGGGCTCAAGTGATCCTCCCACCTCGTCCTTGTAGAGATGAGATTTAGTTACGTCGTCCAGGCTGATCTCAAACTCCTGGGCTAAATCGATTGTCTCACCTCAGCCTCTCAAGTATGTTATGAAGGTTATATGTTAGGAAGGGTCCCAGGAGGTAGACCCACACAGATGGGATTTGGGCATAGGTTTGGTTTCCCAGGGGGCAGTGCTGAGCTCTTTGCCAGTGGGAAATGGGATGCTGGTGATTTCCAGTAGGTGACCTCACAGTGACTCAAGCTACCACTTACTGTTGATTGTGACGAAATGCCAGCTGAGGCACATGCCTTGGGAGCTAAGTGGTTGCTGCCCTTGACCACTGTGAAGACTGGTGTGGGAAGGGTCGTTTTGGATGCACTTGAGCAGGGGTCCCCAACCCCTGAGCCATGGAGCCGCAAGGAGCCACACAGCAGGAGGTGAGCGGTGTCGAGTGAGGGAGTGAGGGAAGCTTCGTCTGTATTTACAGCCACTCCCCTTTGCTCACATTCCCACCTGAGCTCCACCTTCTCAGATGAGCAGCAGCGTTAGATTCTCATAGGAGAACGCACCCTGTTGTGAACCGTGCATGTGAGGGATCTAGGTTGCGCTGTCCTTATGAGAGTCTAATACCTATTGATCTGTCACTTTCTCCCATCACGCTCAGGTGGGAACATCCAGTTGCGGGAAAACAAGCTTAACACGCCCACTGATTCTACATTATGGTGAGTTCTATAATTATTTTATTATATATCACAGTGTAATAATGGAAATAAAGTGCCTAATAAATGCAAATGTGCTTACATCTTTTGGCCCAGCTCCTACCTCCCGGCAGCCTCTCCAGGCCCAGAACTTTCTCCAGTCAGCCTCTACAGACCAAGCTCATGACTCACAATGGCCTATTTAGGCCCATACCCTACGTCACGGCAGCCTCCGCAGATGAGCCTACTGCCTCACAACAGCCTCCACAGGCACAGCTCCATCGTTACAATGGCCTCTTTAGACCCAGCTCCTGCCTCCCAGCCTTCTCTCCAGGCTCTGAACTTTCTCAGTAAGTTCAGGTAGCTGGGACTGTAGGTATACATGATGATACTTGGCTAATTTTTAAATTGTTTTGTAGACACGGGGTCTCACTTTGTTGGCCAGGCTGGTGTCAAACTAATGGCCTCAAGTGACCCTTCCACCCCTGCCTCCCATCCTCGAGGCATGTGCCACCACAAGGAGCACTTGTTCAATTTTCTAAAAAAAAAATGTCTAAAGTAAGGCTGTGGGATGATGGCAGGAAGATAAAAGAAAAACAGAAGAATAAGTTAAAATGACTTATTCACACATATTCTTTTGACAGCAAGAAGAACTTTTAGTATGTACATTCCTTACAAACAAACAAAAGGCAGATAAACAATGTTGTATAGGAACTTCAACACACACTGTACAATATTCCCACTTTGCTGACATAAGTTATGGAAATTTCATGGTTTACTTGAGTGTCGCTACCAGTATTTTGCTTCTCTGATGATTTTTATCAACTTCCTCATCTGTTAACTTCTCTCCAAGGTATGTCATGTCACGACATACTGCCGCTGCACGAACATGGCCAGTGTCTTCCTATTCAACATGTAGAATGCTTTCCTAATTTCTCTTTTTACTCTCTGTCTTTGTGTTCTGCATTTTCCTTACTTTTATTGTCAGAAACTCCAGAAAGTCAATCGTACTAATTTATCACGATTTGCTTTATTAATTTATACTTTGCTTATATGGAATTTTGCCCAGCAGACCTCATTACAATTTCTAACCTGTTTTATTTTGTTTTTTTTTCTGAGACAGGGTCTCCCTCTGTTGTCCAAGGCTGGAGTGTAGTAGTGCTATCGCAGCTGACTGCAGCCTCAACCTTCCAGGCTGAAGCGATCCTCCCACCTCAACCTCCCACGTGGCTGAGACTACAGGTGCTTGCCACTATGCCCAACTAACATTTGGAATTTTCGTATACGTGGATTCCAGAGGGGTGACAGCGAAACGTGAGTAAGCATGGATTTTGGTATATGCAGAGATGGGGGGCTGGAACTAATTCTGTATACTGAGGGACGACGACTATATGTTTTTACAATTATGCTGTGGGATACATACTGTTGCATAGCCTTGAAAATAATAACTTTTAATTGAGTGGAATAAGAATAATATTGATAAAAGTAGCAGCTGGCCAGGTGTGGTGGCTCACACTGGTAATCGCAACACTTTGGGAGGCTGAGGCAGGAGGATGGCTTGAGGCCAAGAGTTTGCGATAGGCCTTGGAAACAAAGGGGGAGTCACCATCCCTACAGAAAAATACATGAATTAGCCTAGTGTGGTGGCATGTTCCTGTAGTCCCAGCTACTTGGGAGGCTGAGGTGGGAGGATCACTTGAGCCCAGGGAGGCTGAGACTGCAGTGAGTCATGATCAGGCCTCTGCACTCCAGCCTGGGTGACAGAGTGAGACCCTGTCTCAAAACAACAAAAAAGTAGCAGCTAACATCAACTGACCTTTTACCAGGTGCCTATTGATACCATAGTTTAATTTCTTATAACTGTTTCTTATTTCACTTACCAACTCTGTCTTCAGTTACTCCCAGATTTTTACTGTGTGTGTACAGATGACCTTTTGTTTAGATTGAATTGTCTCCCCAGAAGTAAGATTACTGTGAGTCATGGTGAATGGACATTCTCCTTACCCTTGATGTAAATTGACAGGGTTTTGGGTGCCTCCCAGCTATAATCTTAGCACTTTGGGAGGCTAAGAGAGGAGGATTGCTTGAGGCCAAGAGTTGGAGGAGGCAGTATGGCAGTATGGTGAGACCCTGTCTCCATTATTTTAAAAAATTGACAGGCTTTACCCGGGAAGGCTTATACACAATTTAAACACCCCTCATAGTATAAGAAGGTGCCCATTTCACTGCACCTTTGCCAGCACAGGGTATTATAATTTAGTAAGTCATTTTTTGTTTGATTATTTTACATAGACAAAAGAACTCATATTACTTTACTTGTCACATTTCAACATCTTTCCTCAGCTTATTAGCTCTATTTCTTTTCTGTCTGTAAATGGTTGTTGCTGTTTTGGTCTTTGAGACAGGGTCTTGCTCTGTCACCAGGCTGGACTGTAGTGGCATAATCATGCCTCACTGCAGCCTTGACCTCCCAGGCTCAAACTTCAGCATTCCGAGTAGCTGGGACTACAAGTGTGCACCACCACCCCCAGCTAACTTTTTTCTTCTTTTGGATAGAGACAGGGTCTCACTCTGTTGTCCAGACCGGTCTCTAGCTCCTGGCCTTAAGCAATCCTCCTGCATTAGCTTCTGAAATTACTGGAATTTCAGGCATGAGCCACCATGCCTGGCCTGGGCTAGTCCCATATTCTCTAGAGTTCTCTTTACTCTGTGCTAGCCAATCTCTCATTATGCTGTTCACCTGTTATAATGAATAATTCTCTGTATTAAATTTTACCACTTTAAACTTTTGAGTGGTTTATGCTTCCTGATTGGACTCTGACTAATATGTTAGGAAGGGTCCCAGGAGGTAAACCCACACAGATGGGATTTGGGCATAGGTTTGGTTTCCCAGGGGGCAGTGCTGAGCTCTTTGCCAGTGGGAAATGGGGTGCTGGTGATTTCCAGTAGGTGACCTCACAGTGACTCAAGCTACCACTTACTGTTGATTGTGACGAAATGCCAGCTGAGGCACATGCCTTGGGAGCTAAGTGGTTGCTGCCCTTGACCACTGTGAAGACTGGTGTGGGAAGGGTCGCTTTGGATGCACTTGAGCAGGGGTCCCCAACCCCTGAGCCATGGAGCCGCAAGGAGCCACACAGCAGGAGGTGAGCGGTGTCGAGTGAGGGAGTGAGGGAAGCTTCGTCTGTATTTAGAGCCACTCCCCTTTGCTCACATTCCCGCCTGAGCTCCACCTTCTCAGATGAGCAGCAGCATTAGATGCTCATAGGAGAACGCACCCTGTTGTGAACCGTGCATGTGAGGGATCGAGGTTGCGCTGTCCTTATGAGAATCTAATACCTATTGATCTGTCACTTTCTCCCATCACGCTCAGGTGGGACCATCCAGTTGCAGGAAAACAAGCTTAACACGCCCACTAATTCTACATTATGGTGAGTTCTATAATTATTTTATTATATATTACAGTGTAATAATGGAAATAAAGTGCCTAATAAATGCAAATGTGCTTACATCTTTTGGCCCAGCTCCTACCTCCCGGCAGCCTCTCCAGGCCCAGAACTTTCTCCAGTCAGCCTCTACAGACCAAGCTCATGACTCACAATGGCCTATTTAGGCCCATACCCTACGTCACGGCAGCCTCCGCAGATGAGGCTACTGCCTCACAACAGCCTCCACAGGCACAGCTCCATCGTTACAATGGCCTCTTTAGACCCAGCTCCTGCCTCCCAGCCTTCTCTCCAGGCCCTGAACTTTCTCAAGTCGACCTCACCAGGCCCAGCTCATGCTTCTTTGCAGCCTCTCCAGGCCCAGCTCCTGCATCTTGGTGGCCCCTCCAGGCCCAGCCTCTGCCTCCCGTCAGCCTCTACAGTCCCAACGTCTGCCTCACAGCAGATTCTTCACGCCCAGCATCTACCTCACTGTGGACCCCCCAAGCCAAGCTCCCAACCTTTCAGCAGCTTCTACACACCCAGCTCCTGCCACCCAGTGGCCTCTTTAGGCCAAGCTCATGCTTCACAAGGGCCTTTCCAGGCCCAACTTTTGTCTCATGGCAACCTTCCCTGGCCAGATTCCTGCCTGTCTCCCAGCAGCCTAGACAGGCCCAGGTCTTGCCTCACACTGGCCTCTCTACATCCAGCTTATGCCTCACGGTGGCCTCTCCAGGCCCAACTCCTGTCCCAGGACGTCATCTCCGGGCCCAAAACTTACTCAAGTTAGACTCTCTAGTCCCAACTGCTGCCTCCTGGTGGCCTATGAAGGCCCAAAATCTCCTCAAGTTGACCTGTCCAGGCCCAGCTCCTGCCTCCTGTCAGCGTCTACAGGCCCAACCTCTGCCTCATGGGGGCTTCTCCAGGCCCACCTCTTCCTCTTGGCTGGGTCTACAGGCACAACTGCTGCCTCACAACAGCCTTTTTTGGCCCAGTTCCTGTCCAGCTCATGGCGGCCAATGTAGGCCCAAAACTTCCTCAAGTCAAACTCTCCAGGCCCACCTTCTGCTTCCCGGTGGCATCAACAGGCCCAGCTTTGACTTGAGAACAGCCTCTGCAGGCCCTGCTCTTGCCTCCCAGGGGCTTTTTCCAGGCCCAGCTCTTGCCTCATGGCAGCTGCCCCAGGCCAAATTTCTGCCTGCCTGCCAGCAGCCTCAACAGGCACAGCTCCTCCCTCACAGTGGCCCATTTAGGCCCAACTCATGACTGTGAGGCCATTTCCAGGCCTAGTGCCTGCCTCGTGGCTGACTCTTGAAGCCCAAAACTTCCTCAAATCAGGCTTTTGCCCAACTTCTGTCTACTGTCGGACTCTACAGGTCAGCCTCTGCCTCACAGTGGACCCTCCAGACCCAGATGGTGTCTCACTGTGGCATCCTCAGGCGAAGCTCCTGCCTTTCGGCAGCCTCTCCAGGCCCAGCTCCTCCTGCCTCCCAGTGGCCTCTTTCGGCCCAGCCCAGCTCATGCCTCCCGGCGGCCTTCCCAAGCCCCGCTTTTGACTTTCGGTGGCCTCTGCAGGCCTCGACAAGGCCCAGCCTCCTGCCTCCCGAAGGCCTGCACAGGCCCAGCCTCTGCCTCACAGCGGACTCTCCACGCCCAGCTAGCTGTTGCTTCACTGCGGCCTCCCGAGTCCAAAGCTCCTGCCTCTCGGCCGCTTCGGCAGGCCCAGCTCCCGCCTGCCAGTGGCCTCTTCAGGCCCATGGGGCTCATTCCTGACAACGGCCTTTCCAGGCCCAGTTTTTCCCTTCCGGCGGCCTCTCCGGGCCCAGAACCTCCTCAAGTCGGCCTCTCCAGACCCACTTGCACCCTCCGGGCGTTCTCTCCGGGCCCAGCTCTTCTTCCTGGTTGGGTCTCCAGGCCCGATTCCTGCCTCTCAACAACCTCTTTGGACTCAGTGCCTACCCATCTCCTGGCGGCCTTGGTCGGCCCACAGCTTCCTCAAGCCAAGCTCCCCAGGCCCAGGTCAGGCCTCACGGTGGCCTCTCCAGGATGAGCTCCTGCCCTCCGATGGCATCTCCAGGCCCCAAATGGTCTCCGGTCGGTGGGCTCCTCCACGCCAAGGTTGGGCCTCCCGGCGACCGCCGCAGGCCCAAGTTGTCCTGAAGTCGGGCTCTCCCGGCCCTGCCTCCCAGCAAGTAAGCAAGCTCTTTTGGCTCAACTCCTGCCCAGCTCCCAACCGCCTTTGTAGGCCCCGAACTTTCTCCAGCCAAGCTCTGAGGGCCCACCTCCTGCCTCCTGGTGGCCTGTACAGTTCTAGCACTGGTTGGAGAACAGCCTCTGCAGGCCCCTCCCTTGCCTCCCAGGGGCCTCTCCAGGCCCAGCTCTTGCCCCCACGGCGGCCTCCCGGGGCCAAGTCCCTGCCTGCCTCCCAGCAGCCCGCGTGCGGCCCAGCTCCTCCCTCACGGTGGCCTGTTGATGCCCAACTCATGCCTCTGGCACCCTGCCCAGAGGCGTGAGCCCCTGCCTCACACTGGCTCCTCCCACGCTGAGAGAGGTCAGTGTGAGCCCTTGCCTCACACCGGCCCCTCCCACGCGGACAGAGGTCAGCGTGAGCCCCTTGCCTCACACCGGCCCCTCCCACGCTGAGAGAGGTCAGTGTGAGCCCTTGCCTCACCCCGGCCCCTCCCACGTGGACAGAGGTCAGCGTGAGCCCCTTGTCTCACACCGGCCCCTCCCACGCTGAGAGAGGTCAGTGTGAGCCCTTGCCTCACACCGGCCCCTCCCACGCGGACAGAGGTCAGCGTGACCCCCTGCCTCAACAGGCCACCGTGAGGGAGGAACAGGATCGCACTCGGGCTGCTGGGAGGTAGGCAGGGACTTGGGCCTGGGAGGTCGCGGTGGGGCGAGAGCTGGGCCTGGAGACTCCCCTGGGAGGCAACAGCGGGGTCTGCAGACGCCCTTCTCCAGCCGGAGCTGGGACTGTTCAGTCACTGGGAGAAGGGATGTGGGTCTGAAGAGCTTGGTTGCAGAAACTTCGGGGTCTACAAACGCAGGCGGGAGCTGAGCCAAAAGAGCTTGTTTGCTGGGAGGTGGGAGATGCAGCCAGGAGGAACAGCTGGGCAATGCGGGAGGCAGAGGCCAGGCCTCCTTAAGTTGGCCTCTCAGACCCACTTGCAGCCTCCCGGCGCCCCCTCCGGGCCCAGCTCTTCCTCCCGGCTGCATCTCCAGGCCGGACTCTGGCCCGACTCCAGGTCCCAACAACGTCTTTGGACTCAGCTCCTGCCCAGCTCCCAGCGGCCCTGGTAGGCCCACAACTTCCCTAAGCCAAGCTCCCCAGGCCCAGCTCAGGCCTCGCGGTGGCCTCTCCAGGCTCAGCTCCTGGCCCTCCGATGACATCTGCAGGCCCCAAATGGCCTCCGGTCGGTGGGCTCCTCTAGGCCCAGCTTGGGCCTCCCGGCGGCCTCCGCAGGCCCAAATCGTCCCGAAGTCAGTCTCTCCAGGCTTAGCTCCAGCCTCCCGGCGGCCTCTGCAGGCCCAAGTCGTCCTCAAGTCGGCCTGGAAGTGGGCCTGGAAGAGCAGCAAGTCGGCCTCCCTGGGCCCAGCTCCGTCCTCTCGACGGCCTCTCCAGGTGCAAAACTTCCTCGAGTCAGCCTCTCCAGGCCCAGCTCCTCCTGCCTCCCAGTGGCCTCTTTCGGCCCAGCCCAGCTCATGGCTCTCGGCGGCCTTCCCAGGCCCCGCTTTTGACTTTTGGCAGCCTCTTCAGGCGCAGAACTTGATCTCCAGTCGGCCTTTGCAGGCCCGGCCTCCTGCCTCTCGAAGGCCTGCACGGGCCCGGCCTCGGCCTCGGCCTCACAGCAGACTCT